>NC_000006.12:156282911-156434426 GCF_000001405.40 Homo sapiens | reverse complement strand
TACCATTCAACCCAGCAATCCCATTACTGGGTATATACCCAAAGGAATAGAAATCACTCTAGTATAAAGACGTATGTACGTGTATGTTCATTGCAACACTATTCATAATAGCAAAGACCGGGAATCAACCTAAATGCCCATCAGTGGCATATGGGTTAAAGAAAATGTGGTACATATACGGCATGGAATAGTATGCAGCCATGTAAAGAATGAGATTATGTCCTTTGCAGGAACTTGGATGGAGCTGGAGGCCATTATCCTTAGCAAACTAATGCAAGAACAGAAAACAAGATACCACATGTTCTCATTTATAAGTGGGAGCTAAATGATGAGAACAGATGGACACACAGAGGGGAACAACACACACTATGGCCTATTGGAGGGTGGAGAGTGGGAGGAGGGAGATGCTCAGGAAGAATAACTAATGAATACTAGGCTTAATACCCGAGTGATGAAATAGTCTATAAAACAAACTCCCATGACATGGGTTTACCTATATAACAAGCTTGTACCTGTACCCCTGAACTTAAAATAAAAGCTAAATAAAAAGAAAAGAATAGCTACATCAATTTTGCATTTCATGTACTCTTTTTAAGGGGTATTGACATAATTTCTATATTCCAAATTATTTTAGTTGAATTTTTTTCTACTTGCTTAAATGGCTAAATGAATGATTTAGATGTAATTATAACTACTTATGATTAAATTTAATCTTTTTAGTAAAAATGATGTTGATGTGCACACACACACAAAATAACGTTGATTGTAGCTCCTCATCTATTAAATATTAATTCAGATAATATGTTTCAAATAAATGATTTTTCTATAGCTATTATCAAAATCTTTCTAAAAATATATCACACTTGTACTTGCCTTTTCAAACAAAGGATATGGAACATATCTTAACCTTTTAAAAATAATCTGGGGCAATCATTGTGGTTGTCATTCAATCCAGGGGCTGTATTTCAGAGTGATAACTTCAGGGACTCTGGTTGCCACACCTCTTAAGCTACCCTGTCCACTTGCTGTAGGTATTTCCTTCTTTCTTTGAGCAAATATTTCTTGAGCACTTTCTGTGTTTGAGACAGTGTGGTTACAAATCTATACTCAAAATGATTTCTGCCCTTAGGTGCTGCTGGTTTGGTCAGAGGAGCAGACACAGATAGCATTAGGAGAAATACCTAATGTTAATGACAAGTTAATGGGTGCAGCACACCAACCTGGCACATGTATACATATGTAACAAACCTGCACGTTGTGCACAAGTACCCTAGAACTTAAAGTATATGTGTGTGTATATATATATATATATATATATATATATATATATATATTATATATATAATATATATATAATATATGTATATATTATATACATATAAATCTACATTTAATTCAGTGTTGCAGGTGGGACAAATATGTAATGGGAGGGTCTCCCATGGAGGGGCCATATGGGTTGGGTCTTAAAGGATGAATAGGTGGTTGATGACTAGAGATCCCAGTAAGGACATCCCAGGTCCTGAGTTCAGCATGTGCAAAGGTAGGTGGATGTGAATGCAGAAGGCATTACGGCATCTGGAGGGGTGGCCCTGCATGGGATTCTGGGACATAAGGTCAGAAACTGTCCTCTGCCCCCAAGACTCTAATTTGTTACGCATCTCTGCTCTCACTCTGCCTGCCTGCACCCTTCCCTTTCTTCCTGCCTTTATGGCCCTTCATCTTTCGTTGGCTGTGTAACTAGATAACCAAACTTGTCAGAATAGCATTTAAAATAAGAATTATCAGGTTCCAAGGGAGGGCTTCCTCTAGGAACAAAGTATAAGGGCTTTGGTGCATCTCTCTTGGCCATTCAGAGACCCCCTGGTTCTAATTTATATATTGGATGGTGGAGGATGGCAGAGAGGTGACCTTCAGAAGAATGAGGTGTCCCTGTAATTGTTTCCCTGAAGGCCTAACAGATATCCACAGTTAAAACAGAACTCATACTCATGATGGAGGATGAATGAATCAATATTTGCAAAGCATTTTGTGATCTTACTATGAAGAGTTGCTGTCCAATGCAAGAACATCATTGTTTTTCTGGAACTATGGATGGTGGCAAATCTCTGAAATAAATCACATCCCCTCCCATCCATATTCTTCCAGCTGCACCAACTCTGTTCTTTGATTCTTGGATAACCCCCTGCTCACTGCAGATTTAAGACCTTGATAGGTATCAAAGCATCAGAGAAAAATATCAAAAAATAACTAACATCAAAAGAGCAGGGAGCAAGAACCGCCTCCACTCTGCAAGCTGCAGTGGGTGAGGGACCCGAAACAGAGATGACTGACATCAGCATGGAAACATACACCCTGATGAGACTCGGCCATGTAGTTCAATGGGAAAGTGACAACAAGAATGAGCATGGGCTTTAAAAGTGAAATGCTTTGTGGACATGACCCCCCACCCCTCAGCATTGCAGCCAGCCCCTGAGGAGCCACACTGTCCATTTAACTAACCCCATCCCTGTTTCTTACTGCCACAGCCTGGGAATCCAGGTTCAAACAAGGTTCAGTGTCTGACTTCCTGGCAGGGACTGTCCTTTCTGCAGTCGCTAATAAGTGGAGTCCAGGTGCAAAGGGATCTTGCACCATGCCCTCCTCCCAAAGGCCTTAGCCTTTCCTAGTGCTCCTCTGAAGACCCTAGGTTGTTTGAAGGACCCCAGGATCCCCTGAAGACCCTAGGTTGTCTGATATCATTTGCTAAATAGGAGTGGAGTTGCCCCTTGAGTTGACCAGAGTGTTATTCATGATTGTTCTGAAATTTTACTGAGAACAATCATTTCATCAACACCTAGTCTGTACAAAGCATTGCGCTAGGTCCTATTAAGGGATAAAAATAAAAGGGCATGGTTATTTTTAAAGAAGATTTTACAGTTGTATTGGCAAGAAAATATTTAAATACAAAGATCAACTCAACCCATGAACTATGGTTGACTGGGGATTGACAAAGCTTGCTTAGTGGGCAACATTCTTTTGTCTAATGGCCAAGTAGGAGGCAGCAGGGTGGGTATCATGGGCATGGAATTGCATGGGCAGTCATGCAGGCCCTGTACTCAGAAGTATCCAAGCTTGGTTTACTACTCTGCTGTTGCCATCTTGAATACTTATAACTTTTGAATAAAGGTCCTCACATTTTTATTTTGCAATGGGTCCATGAATTATGTAGTTGTCCTGGGAGGAGAAATGTTTGTGACATTGCTTGCCCTGAGGCATCGGAGTGGAGGAACAGCAGTAGAAAGGCTTCATTGAGCTGAAGAGTCTACCTGTAAGAAGTGTGGGAAAGAGAAGGGTAAGTTGAGGGAAGATGGGCCATTTAATGGTAATGTGGGATTGCAAGAAGGAGTCACAAAGCATGGCTAAATAAATAAACACTTCCTGTTTAGGCATTTGCACATAACTTCTGTTAGCCTGTGATGTCCCAAGGGACAGATGAGGTGAGAAGAGGCTTAGGTGTGCCTTTTCCCTTCTGGCCAACAGGAGATGTGTGGACCCATCCACCCCACCCCTCCACCCCTGCTTGCCCACATGTGTTTGAAACTAGGCTCCGCCAGGCTTTCCCTGAGGGACGTTTATGCCAAATATACTGGAAAGTCCTTTGCCCACACTCACCAGTCTTTTACCAGGAGGAGCTGGGTAGATCAAAATTCATTCCATTAAATTTATGAGGTGTGAGGATCAAGTAACCCATATACAATTTTACGTTGTTTCAAGATGTCTAATTGAGATTGAAATTCACCTGGATAAATTCCATATAAACTGACTCCCCTACAGTATCCCCCATGTTCACTCTAAGGTTAGCCTATGATCATGGTTAACGTTCCAAGGCGGGGTCAAGAGAGGCAGTTAAGGGGCTTCCCAAGCCTCAAGTGCATGTGATTATCTGGAATTAAGTGAAGGGGTGAATGAATTCATGACTCTGAACCACTTTTTTGGAGCTGTGTGCTGGGAGGATCACATTTGACAGTGAATATTCTGAAATGGGAGCTGGAGACCAAGCCTCTGATGCCATTCTCAGGTCCTTGGGCAAGCTCCTTTGTTGCCAATCCCTGTCTCTTTCCCCTTCCTCTAGCATGCTGAGATGTTATGAGGATCAGCTGTGAATTGCATGGTGTGTTTTGGAAAGCCATTCATCCTATAAACCCAAGGTATCATCATTAGCTATGCCAAATCTTTGAAAGGATTTCATAGAGCCATGCTAACTTCTCAAAACATGCAAATGTTAATTGACACAGATATCCTAGCCATTGTTGAGAAAAAAAAAATCCGTCACCTGAATTCTCTTTGTCCACTTCCTTCTCTTCCTTTTGTTCATTCTTCTCACGTCAGTTCAACTTACATCTTGGGGATCTCAACATTAGTCCTCAGTGGTGGCTGCTCATGGGTATCATGGAGCGTTTTACAACAGAAGAGCAAGGCTTAGCGACGGGAGTGATTGGAGTTAGTTGGACTAACTTGTTCTATGGCATTAAGTTCTTTTCTGGTCACTATGAAATTTGTCCTCTGCCTATGGGAAATTACCTGATGGTGTAAGCGGATTTCTGTAAGTAGCAAGAAAGCATAAACCAGTGGAACTCTTAAATTAACCAGGTCGTTTTCTTATCACACTTTATAGTTAGCCATAATGAAGCCCACAGCAAATGTCTAGAAGAGTTCACATGATAGACCCTTCTCAAGTCCTCGGGGCTTGGGTTATAGAGGGCCAACTTTATTGTCGGATGGGTCATTAACTAAGAAAGCATCTAAGCGAGAGAATGAATCATCTCTTTGAGACTAACTTGATGAGCCATACATCTCTAAGGAAGATGCTATATACTTGTTAGAAGCTTAAACAAGAAACTTTGCCTTTCCTTCTAGACTAATTATTAGCAACAACAGAGATACTTGTTGAGGATTTATGAGACTTGAGAATTCCACGAATTACAGGAAATGTGGCATTAATTGTGACAGTGCATTATATTCATAAAGAAAAAATAATGGACCTGAAGAAAAAGATGGAAATTGTGAGGACATGTAAATAGCAATCATGTAAATCAGGAGGTCATCGCGGTTCTTTGCTGAGTAGCCACTTTATCTTGTAGGAAGATGGAAGTGGTCTGGAATTACTAGTTCCAGTTGACCTAGGATGGTGGCTATATTGAAGTTCTTCATGGCAAAATGGCCCTTCTAAGAATTGCTTCCAAATCTGAATCTCTTCTCAACTGAGTTCTCATCCAGATGGCTACCCCATCTGGATGTGAGTTGTTATTCTTCTGGAAAACTTAGTAGTCACTACTTTGATGGCACAAAAATCTGTGGGCTTCTCTTTAAAATTCTCTTCTTGGAATCTACCTTATTCTTTTTTCTCTCATTTGGCAGCTTCCCAGCTTCAGTGGGACCCATGGTGGTTTGTAATCATATACAGTCGTGTGCTTCATATGATGTTACAGTCAATGACACACTGCCTATGGTGGTCCTCATGAGGTTATAATATTGTATTTTTACTGTACCTTTTCTATGCTTAGATACACAAATGCCATGGTGTTGCAGATGCTTACAATATTTCATACAGTAACATGCTGCCCAGGAGCAATAGGCTACCCCATCTGGATTTATGCAAGTATACTCTATGATGTTTGCATAATGATGAAACCACCTGAATGCATTTCTTAGGATGTATCCCTGCTGTTAAGTGACATGTGACTGTAGTTACATCTCTGCTCATTTTTTTAGTATCTTTTTCACTTGCTGGGCTGTAAGCTCTGTGACTGAAGGAACCGTGTTTGTTTTGTTACCTTTTGTTAGCAGAGTACCTAAAAACTCAGGCTGATGGTCAATGCTATTATTCATTACTGCTAGCATTTCCATGTGGGAACTCCTCCTTGGCATTTCTTGGGAAATTTCTGTGTTTTTCCAAATCATGAACCCCAGGGAAAATCAGTCACAAAATTGAGAAAAACAATAGTTTTGTGAAAATTAACATTTAATACTGTTACCGATGATAGGAAATCCACTGATGTCCAGTAGAAAGCAAGAGCAGAAACCACTGATACACAGAATTGAATGTTAAGGTCAACCTTCCTGGAAGCTGGGAAGGGACAGATTGGAAAGAATTGCTCACAATCTTATCTTTCATCCCTGCAGGAGTCGTTGCCATGTTATGAGTGTGTTTGTGGTCCTGTCTCTAATGGTGAATCCTTATTGAAAATAAAATAAGTTTGAGCATGGTTTTATTTATAGTATAGTTTATACAAATCCTATGAGTGGTGCTGTAAGAAATAACATGTTTTGGAAGCAAAACAAGCCCTTTATTTGGCGATTTAGACACATGATTCTGTTAGTGCTTGCTAGGAGATTTGAATGTTACATTATTTGAATAGTACCCACTAATGTTTGCTGGCATTTTCTAGTGTTAGAATATTCTCTATAGGTATCTTGAAAATACTACTAAATTTAATCTATCTTATTTATTAAAATATTGTTAAGCTATCCATAATCATGAGTAAAGATTATAAAGAACATTGGAAGTGTTTTAAAAAATAACAGATTTCAGGAATTTGCAAGAGTTCTTGGGGATCTCAAATTTTCATGACTGAGTCCCAAAGATTAATATCTGTCAGGAATCTGGAAACACAAAGCTGTGTAACAAACCACCCCCAAATCTAGTTGCTTAAAGAAACACCAATTCATTATCCACCACAATTCCCTGGGTTGACTGAGCTCAGCTGGGCAATGCTTCTACATCTCCTGATGTTGGCTGCAGCTGCAGTCATCTGGGGGCTGTTTGGGCTGGAAATTCTGAGATGACTCACGTATTTGTCTGGTAGTTGACGATGACTGTCAGCTGGGAACTGAGCTGTGGCTTTTGGCTCTATTCCTACAATTTTTTTCTATGTGCCCTCTTTATGTAGCTTGAGCTGCTGAGGGTGTGGAAACTGGGTTCTGAAAGGGAGTGCCCCAAGAGGAATCTTTCTTACAAGAAGGAAGGAGGAGCTGCAAGTTCCTTTAGACCTGGGCTTGGAAGCTCCAGAATGTCATGCCTGCCTCTTTCTATTAGTTAAAGCAATCACAGAGCTATGCTACATTCAAGGGGAGGAAAAATAAACTCTATCTCCTGATGGGAGGAATGGCATATAAGTACAGAGAGGGGAGGAATTTGGGGGCCATCTTTGGAGACCACCTACTATAGTCTGTCCTCTGGTTACCATTTATGTCACTCTCACCCTTCCAAGATTCCTCAAATGTTGTCTTTGCTCTTTTTGTTTGCAGAGGCTGGAATGTCCAAGATGTCTTCTTCACTCACATGGTGAAGCCTCAGCTAGTAAGGTTGATTGTGGTCATAGGTCTGGAGTCTTGATTCTCTCTGTCAATTGGTTCCTCAGTTCTTTCCATGTACTCTCAGGGGCTCTCCTTCTCCACGCAATCTCTCCACCAGTGTAAGCAGACTTCTTACCTGACACTTCAAGACTCTCAAGAGAGAAAACTCTAAGACGAAAAGCTTAATCAACCCTATGCTTGTCATAATTGCCCATGTCCTATTGGCTGAAGCTAGTTCCATGGGCAAGGCCAGAATCAATATGGGAGGACTCCATAAAAGTGGGAGGAATGCTTCATTAGGGACTACCATATTAATAGTCTCCTGTGAATGCACAGTAAATGTATGATGAGTGAATAAATGAATGAATGCACTATTACCAGTTCATTTACTTCCAAACCCAATTTTGGAAAAATGATATCTTTCCCTGGAGGGGGCCCAGCTTCATGCTCATTTCCATCTGTACCACTCACCTCACAGCCCCTGGGTTATCTGACTTGCCTTATGATCCTAGGACTTGCCTGTGGAGACCTAGGGGTCCTCCCTTGATTCAGAGGCCCTGCAGATTTACTCGTTCCTTGAAGGAAATAACCCAGCTCTTTTTTACTTCCTTTAGATTTTTCTCAAATTTCAGGACCCCCGCAAGTTCCTACAATGGTTTAGTTATAACCTACTTAATCACTACCCACCCCATCCTCTGTCTCTCTATAGTTATAATTCACTGCTTCCAGGGGGATTAGCTTCTTAAGTCTTATATATATGCTTCCTGAATCATATGTGTGTAATACAAATATTTTTATATATAATAACATATAAAACACACATATATACTCTATACCTTATTTAAATTTTTAGATCTTTTAGAATTGATACTATTTGTCAGAAAACCACTGTATTCTTGGTGAAAACGAATCCAATTGAACTTTGCACTAAACACACACACACCCACCCCTAAGCCCAGAACTCCCACTCTCTCCTTTCCCAGAATTACCCTCTCCAGAAGGGCCAGTCTAATACTTCATTTCTGCATTTGAGCCTTGGCTATATTGAGGCATCTTTGATGTATTTAAACTTTGGCTGGTTTCCTATAGGCCATAGATCAAGAACCAATTCGAAGTATGGATTTTCTCATCAGGACATGAAATCCCAAGGGATGAACTGGTATCATCCACATCGTTTTAGTTGTAATAAAAATCTTAATCATGTAGGGTGGTTGGTTTTTGGATTGTCTTTGACTTTTTAAGTGTTTTTGGAAGCTCAAGTAATGGCAACAAATCATAAATGGAGGAAACGGTTCAAGGATTATAACCAAGCAATAATGATGGCATTAGGCAGGGAAATGTGGATGAACATTAGTTTTCTTTTATTTTATCCAGTAAAATCCTTTTAAAAGAAATTTTGAGCTTTGTTACCCTGGAAAACATAGCTGCGTATAGGGCAAGATGAGATCATGTTTTTCTATTGCACTGAGGAAACTTAATTATTAGAAATTCCAGACTTTCTAGGGGCCTCTGACTCATGTTTTGAGACCACATTTTATCCAGCAAACTGCACTATGCACGTGACCACCTCTCTCTCAACAGAAGCATCCGGCACACCATTATGCTTGCAAATTTCAAGTATTTTTCTTAGAGTAGAATTTGGTTAGTTCCTGCCTTATTTCTTTTACCTCCCACTTGCATTTTCAGTCACTCATGAGCCTCACAGATGGAGGCAGAAAGTGCACATTAAGATTCCTCATTCCCTTAACTTCTGGGGATGAAAATGAAGTCATACTTTTTTAAGTCAAGGACTTAAAATTTTTATCATGATTTTGGTTCTGTGTCTTGCTCTTTGACCTAAGTCTTGTTATCCCCAATAAAAATTCAAATCCCCATGTCTGGGTGAACCCTAGACACTGAATAATCTCTGGTCACAGTCGTTGATTTATTTGTTCATCTGTTTAACAAATAGGTATTACATATCTCCTACGTGTCTGGCTCTGCACAGGAGATATTGCAGTGAACAAAAACAAATTCCCTGTCCTCATGCAGTTTACTTCCAGAATGGGAATACAGACTACAAACATAATAAGTATAAGATATTATATGCATTATGTAATGTTAATATCAATGAGTTGACAATAAGAGTTATGAGAAAAGTACAACAGGAAATGGGATAAGGGGTGTCGGGAACATGGGTTGCAATTTTAACTGGGTGGTCTGGGAAGGCCTCATTGAAAAGGTGACTTAAAGCCATCCAGGTGCCTCTCTAGGGAAAGAGTATTTCAGGAAGAGAAAACAGCAAGTGCAAATGTCCTAGGAAGGAAGCAGGCCTGGTGTGTTAGCTTAGGAATGGAGACTGGGTGGCTGGAGCTGGGGGAGCAGAGTGAGAGGAGTGGAGGTGAGTAAAAAAAATTGCAGGTGCCATATTGCATAGGGCCCGGAAGAACAGAATAGACTCTGCATTTTCCTCTGAATGAGATGGAAAGTCACTGGAGGGTTTGTGGAGAGGAGCAAGCTGATTTAGCTTTTAAAGCACTACTCTCACTGCTGGGTTGATAATAGACTGTAGGAGGTTAAGGGTGGAAGTGGGGAGACTGGTTCAGAGTCAACTGCAATACTCTCAGAGAAAGGCAATGCTGGCTTGCAGTAGAGATGGAAAAGTAGATGTAGGAAATGAGAGAAAGAGAAGAGTCAAGGTGACTCCAGGGGAGTTGGCCTGAGTGGCAGGAAGGATAAAAGTGCCACCAAGTGAGCTGGGAAGGCTCTTGCAGGGGCCAGCTCAGGGGCATTGGGAGGTGCACGATATCTGAAGCTCAGTTTTTCACATGCTTAGCTGAGATGGCTTTAGACATCTGGTACATATATTGAATATGCCTCTGGATTGGTGAGTCTGGAATGCAACAAAGACACCCAGTTGGAGGTGTAAATCTTACCTGCTTTCTTGGATTAGATTTCCAACCTCAGCCCATTCATCTGAGGCCTCTTATCTATCTGGTTCAGGCCCCTGGCCCCCTGGAGGCCCTCACTTCCTGCCTGATTTCCTAGAAACCCCGCTAACTCTGCTGACTCCAGGACATGGTTGTGTCCTCACCACACCCTGTCATTCACTGGAGACCTAATTTCTAGTTCAAAGTCTTCTGTTCCACCTCAGTGCTTGGCAACGCGAGACCCAGGTTGGTGGTGTTTGCCACATCCTGGCTGCACAGCTCCCTGGCCTTCTCATTTCAAGGGTTAGTCTCTTTCCTTGGTTGGTCAACCACCCATTCCCAGGACCACATCTTAGATTTCTGTACCATAACAACTTTTAGAAATCCCATAAGTATCTCAAATGCGAATGCCCATGCTCCTATCTAATGTTTTTATCTTTCCTGCTTAACTGCTCCAGGAAGCCCCATTATAGTAATTCATTGACCTCATTGTGATCTATTGAGCCCCCTAATTTCTCATGGCTCATTAATGTCCTCCCAGCATCCCTGCATTTTCTGTCCAGCTTAGGCTCTTTGCTCAATCAGGATGATGTTGACACCTGCTTCTTTTTGGCTATCCTACCCTTTTTTCAAAACTTATAACCCAAAGCACATTAACACCACCAGAGAGCTTTAAAAATTACCCATGACTGTGCCCCACCAAAGATCACCCGAGCAGAGTCTCGGGGGGAGGAGCCAGGCATCAGAATTTTTAAAAAAAGTGCTCACATTATTCTAACGTCCAGTCCGTCTGAGACCCACTGTGCGATGAGTTCAGCTGCCCACATTGTCTGGCCTGTATCTGAGCTGCTGAGCTGTTGGAGGAAACCACAACTCAGCAGACAGGGTTCCTTTTAAATTCTTGCTCTCAGACCTCAGAAGTGTTCCCAGTCCTTCCTGGCCTTCTTACCACACTTCTCTGTAAACTCCCTTTCCCCGTCTGAGATTGAAACAGACAGGAGGCAGGGCAATACTGAGTACAAGAGGGTGGTTCCCTGGCAAAAGCCCCACCCACAAGCCTGGGCCCATGGCCCTAAATGAGCACTTCATATCCCTGTTTTCCCTCCTGGATGTTGCTTTTTCCAAAACCACTGTGGCCCACCACGCCCTGCATCCTGTACCCATAAAACCCCCAAATTCCACTGGCAGGGGAGCAGAGCGGCACAGTGGAGAAAAAGAGAAGGGAGGAAGCATCTGAACGTCAAGAGGAGCTCAGGACCATCCCTGGCCAATCTCCTGGGGAATTATCTTCCCATTCCTGGGATTATCTTCCCACTCCATCCCCTTTCCAGCTCCCCATCCCACCAAGAGCCACCTCCATCTCTCAATAAAACCTCCACATTCAACATCCTTCACATCTGTGTGACCTGATTCTTCCTGGATGCCAGACAAGGACTTGGGTACCAAGAGGTCAGGGTGTAAAAGGCTGTCACCCTGACTCTCCACTGAGCTGGTTAACACTTAGCTGTTTGTGGATGACAACTGCTAAAAGAGCATTAATTGTAACATACCCCTAGATGCTGCCATGGGGCTGGAGCCCAAAAGCACTTATCCTGGCCCCAGCACCTGCTTGTCTGCATGCTTTTCCTCCCGCAACAGGTTTGAGTGCGGTGGCCAAGTAAGCAAGCCATACGCCTGCTGCAAGTCCCTCGAAGGGTTCCAGGAAACTCCCCTGTCTCAACATGGCTACTTCATACTTACTCTTTCTTCTCAAATCTCTCTGTCCTTTTCTCCCCAGGGTACACCTAGCTGGTGACTTTACCCCATACCTCACTCAAAAAGTAGGAACCATCAGATGGGGGCCCCCTTATCTGTCCTGTTATTCCTCTTCCATGTGCTTCATGTAATCATTTCAATTCATACTTGTCCCAATTCTTACCTATACCTCATTTGTTTTCTTGCTTCTTGTCCCTTTCCCGTGAGACTGTGAACTCTATGGGCAGAGGGTCATGTTTATTTACCAAAGTAAACAAGATTAGCACAGGACCTAGATGCCATCTAGCAGAGAGAAGGCCCTCCAACATTTCCTGCAAGATTACGTAAGCCATATCTTGATCATATGAGTCAATGCAAAGTTGTAAATTATGTTATCCACTGTCTTCATGGCTACAAAGAAGTTAGAGGTCATTCTAGTTCCACAATCTTGCTTTACAAAGGCCTAAACTGAAGCATGTCAATGACTCTCCTGACTACAAAAATGGGCCAGTACTTTTCCCTAGACCAACCCGTATTGGCCAACTACAAGGAGTATGTCAGCCCAATGCCATTTGCCCATTTCTATTTGGTTTTGGTGCAGGGTCTTGTTTTTAGGACATTTGAGTTTCCTCTGTGGTGATGTTGGGTTTAGGCCGGCATCTGTGTTGGATTGGGCTTCTTTGCCATGAATGTTGGGAGAAAAGCTGAGTGTTGGGAGAAGTTGAGGCAGGGCTTACATGTCTGACATAATGTAAAAGAGTCTTGGAACATGACCAGGGTACAGGGTCTAAAACCCCTTGTGGCCTTTGGAACGTGAAGCTCTGTGCTAAAGGGTGGAAGGCTACCCTGATGCAACATAATCTAAGCCCAGGGCATAAAACCCCTCGTGGCTTGGATGGAATCCAGGGCCTGTGGCTCTGGAATGTGTCTAGACTTGCTGGCTCCTTGCTCTCCCAGGATTGATTGTATCTTGAGTTAAAAGAACCTGCTCTCCATTATCTCAAGTAGCAGAGCACATGCTAAACTGCCACAGCTGTAGATCATGTGCTTGCCCTTTCCACCCCCACATTCTCAACACCGGTTTGTTTGTTTGATCACCAATAAATAGTCTGGGCTCCCAGAGCTCGGGGCCTTCGCAGCCTCCATACACTAGCGATGGCCCCCTGGACCCACTTTTCTCTCTCAAACTGTCTTTTTCTCATTCCTTTGACTCTGCCAGACTTTGTCACCCTCAGGACCTGGTGTTGGGTCCGATCACCCCAACAATGAACTGTTAGAGACAGGGATGGCCTCAGGAAGGAGTTGCTGTGGAAAAAGGCCAGCCCTGCACAGCACAGAACTGAATTGTTCTCACCTGTGCATTTGATACTTTCCTTTCAAAATCCTCTTATTAAAAGCACTTTGCTAAAAATAAAGTTTCTAAGCTACTGAGTAACTTTAAGGAAAAAGTACCTATAAGGACTTGCATTGTGCTTGTCACTGTATAATCACAGACATTTTGACAAAGGTACCATTTAAGCAAGAAAGAGGAGAATGAGAAACAAAGATATCTTCTTCTTCCATGTTAAATTGGTTAAAAAAAAAAAAAACAAATCCCAGATTGACTCATGCAAAGATTATTCCAAAAGAGAGTGTTTTTCCTGTGTGATTTGGCTGACTGCTCTGACAGTCCCCAGATGTGGACTTGCTGTGCAGTGATAGCTTTTTAGTTGGAAATTTGAACAACTTAATTGGAGGTGTGAGCCATTTTAATAGATAGAATAGGGGTGACTTTTCTGTGTGTGCCAAACGTCAGAATTCTTAGGAAGTAGCTGGTCTGTCTGTCCAATTCTGAACCTGGTGAATGTCCTCACAGAGTTTGCGCCATGGCACTCCTGCTAGGGCTACCAATATCTTGGGACTGATGGATTTCCCAGGATGTGGGAATTTCAGTGCCAAACTGAGAGTGCTGGGAAAGCTGGGATGGCTGGTCCCCCTAAACACTGACACTTGTTGGGAAATGGCTCTTTTCTCATCGTGATAGGAAAATCCTTTCTTTAGTTCTGCCCACAGAAAAGGGATCCATAAATCCAGACTCTGCTTTCTAGCTTGCGTAATATTATTCTATCCTCCTTTGCACTGGAATTGTTTGCAGCTACTTTGCTTCCAAAAGCAGTGTTAAATGTCCTACCACCCGACAAACCAGTCAGTCTTTTAGTGGTTACCTTGAATCTTGGACTGGATTCTTCAGCTGCCCAGCTGATTCCTTCTGTTTTTTTTTTTTTTTTAATTTGTTTTTTCCTACAGATCTCCTGGATACACCTAAGGCCTTTCCCTAGTAGGAAGATAATTGCAATTTTATATGATCCATGTCATTGTAGCCCATCCTTCCCTTCCACCAGCTTCAAGTTAGAACTCCATTCAGACTAGTTTCCTACTGTCAATGTGATTTATGGGGAAGTCACTTTACTCTTTCATCCTTCACGTCCACCTGTGTAGACAAAAGTGTAGCATTTCCTACTTTTAAACTGCCTCAACCTATAATATTTGGGGATTCCCAGATTCTCTGTAAGAAATACTAAATAGGATAAAAACCTCTCATAAATATTTTCACAATCCATATTATAAAATTAGGTTGTCAAATGGCTGTCTACTCATCTTTTCATACATGCGTGCCACATCCCAACACTGGGAATAGTTGTCAAAATAAATAGAAATCTCACTGTTTGAAACATGCATTAATGATGTTAGATGAGAAGGATTTTCCAGACAGTTTTGAACTCTTGCTACAATGTGATTTATGCTGAAGTATTTGGAAAATTGGGCTGATGTTTGGCAAATGATCACAAACTGCCTAAAATTATTTAGTTCTTTTCATTGTTTAATTTCATGTGTGTGTGCCTTGCTTTCCCAATTAAATTATAAGATTATTTAGTTCGGTAAGAAAGGGTTAGGCTTCCAAAAGTTCTCTACGGTGCCTAGCACAGTGCTCTGGACAGAGTGGAAACGCTACCTGCATAGTCATTGAGCGAGGGCATCGTCCGTCTCCAAGAATTGGCATTTGTGTTGGTTGGTGCATGGCCAATCAGCAGGGTGGCCTTGGGGAAAGAATTATGTGTGGAAACGGCTCTAGGTTATGTGAAGAACATCCATTCATTCATTAGGTTGTAATCAACCCTACAGGTTCCCACTATGGTGTTACGTTGAATAAAAACAGAAAGAAGATAAAAAGCTCTTTCATGTTGACACAAACTTGAATAGGCCAGCTATTAACCACTGAGGTGGAGCTATATTTTGTCAAGGTAATTCATACCTCGCTTTGAGATGACTCTAATGCTGGGAATATTTCCTCCACTCCTCAGCTTGGGCACCCACCTCAGGGTAATAAGGTACTATACTAATATATGCCGTCGGAGAAAAATCAGAATTATCATTTTTCTTATTTTTAAACACAAAATGAAATAGACCTTGTGCCAGTTGGTTCTGAAAAAAACATCCAAAGCTTTTTTGGTGGTTCTGAAAAACTTCCAACCTTTCTTATCCTATATTTCTCATCTTTTTTTTTAAAAATGAAAAGAATTATACTTGTGGCTATGGAGACTTGAGATATTTGTTCATATGATGCTGTAGAAGTTTACACAAGGTAGTTATTATTTTCAATGAATTTATCAATGAATTGTAAAACAGATGAATCATTGTATTTCTTTTAAGCAGGGCAATTGCATGTTATAGCCTAATGGAGGCTACTTTTGACCCACTATTCCAGGCATGGAAATAGGTTTCATCTTGAATGTCACCTCTGATCTATTAGTAGTGACTGACCATAGCACTGAGATCAGGATTAGGAAGCTACTTCTAGGTCAGAAGTTAGGAAACTTTTTCAGTAAATGGCCATATAGTATATATTTTAGGCTTTCTGGGCCATGTGGTTACTGTTGCAACTACTTAGCTTTGCTGTTGTAGCATAAAGACAATAGGTAAACCAAAGGTTATGGCTGTGTTCCAATAAAACTTTACAAATAAAGGAAGCAGTGCCATAGATACCTGCCCTTCCTTCCTTCTCTGCAAGTGGATACAGCATTCAGTGAAAGAGTTCTGATCATAATTCTGATTATCGGTCAGTGTATATAACCTAGGTATGTCAATAGAGGTTTTAGGTAAGAATCAGCTAGTTGTTCTCTCCATAAATTAACACAGCCCACAATTGCTTATCTACAATTTTGGGATCCAAAAAGTCTAAAGTTTTTTGTTTCTAATTTAGTGGCAAAACCTGAGCTGACTTGGACTTCTTTGGCAGGCAAACGGACCCAAGTGCACATAAGGCCCTTGTATAATCTTTACTTATCCTGCTTAATAGGACATTTGATATGTTGTGCCGTTTGATTATAGGGTGCTGTCCAGACCCTGCTAGGAGTGTTACAATACTGAAAGGGATTTATACCAAATCACCTTTCTGAAATACCAAAATTTCTGAATTTTGAAACCATCTGACACAGAATTTCTGATAAGGGATTATGAATGTATAAACACAAACTCCCCTTTTTCTTTTGTGCTGTGTAGATGGAAGAACATTGCCAAGAAATGAGTGTCTGAATAACGACAGTGAATTAGTCTAATCAAACAATCTGAACGATTACTAGTTATAATGGTGTGATCAGCTTAATCACCTGTGGTAATGAAGAGTTAAGCTTCTGATTTTAAACCCAAGTGAAGCCGGGAAAATCAACATTAATCTTTCCCATAATGACCTTTTCTCCTTTCATGTAAATGTATTTTGACAGATAGTGCTGTTCCTGGCACGTCCATCTGTATGAAGTGGTACAAATCTTTTTGGTCAATAATTGGCTTCTACAAACCTGGTTACCCCTGCAGGTGTGACCAGGTATGGCATAGTGCTGTGAATTTCAAGGGCATGTGTGAGTTATTGAGTCTGATTAGGTCTCAGGGCCCCTCAAAGCCAGAAATGAGAAGACCCTACTATTGCTCTTCCACTATCTAGCTTGTCACGGGCTTGCTTCTTGCTTATCCATAAAATCGGGCAATTGACACACAGGTGGACTACTATCTTTATACATTTACCACCTTTTATCTACTGCTATTCCAGAATTTACTATTTTTCTCTTTCCACTGGACCATCATTTCTTTGAGAGTCAAAAAATATGTTTTATTCACTTTGTAGTTTTAGTCTTTAAGCACAGAAGTCATTATGTCTGTTGACAGATGGACAGATCGAATGCTCATAGACTTAAGGACTCATAAAAGGGACCTCACAGGCCATTTTCTCAAAGCTTTCTATTTTATAGATGAGGAAACATAACTAGAGAAGTTAACTAGATACTCCCATGTACTGGATACTATTACCAAGTGCTATCCTAACACTATTTCATTAATCTTTCGATAGCTCTATGAATTAGATACATCACCCATAATTTTAAAAATGAGGCAGGTGAATCTCAGAAAAGTTAAATAACTTGCTCAGAAGCAGTGCAGACTTGACCCATGTTCTATCTTACTCCAAAGTCTTTATTTTTTCCATAAGATTATAGGATCTTGCCTGCCTCTAATGACTGATAGGTGCCCCTCAATCCTAGGATGTTCAATTAATTTTGATCCATATCCACTGTAGGATATTAAGAGAAGCAAAGCATGATTCCTGCCCTCTAGAAGTTTACAACCCAGAGGAGAAGCAGACACATGCCACTTGCATGACTGCCATGGCTTTTTAGCCATAATCCTTGCTTTGGCCCTCTTTTCCTTAAAGACTTTTGTCTGCACAGCACCTGAGTGATTCTGTTGATGACTAAGAAGACCAAGTCTCTTCTCTGCTCTAAGCCTTCCAATGGCTTCCCATTTCACTTGGAATAAAAGCCAGACTCCTCTTGGTGGCTTATACAGCCCTCTGCAGTCTGTCAACCATTGCTGCTCTGACATGGTCTTGTATCACGCTGAACACCTTTAAAATTGCAACCCCTCCCACCCTTCATGCCTGGCACATAGCAGGTACTCAAATATTTGTTAAATATTGAATGAAGAAAATGTATTATGTAGTGGAATGCAATTAGTGCTACAAAGATACTTAACTGAAGTGCCATAGGAATACTTTCTCCTTAACCATGTGGGATTCATAATTCCTCTATTTGATGAGGATCAAATTTCTCATCAATCATAAAAAGGTTGGCTTGGCCGTGTAAAGACAGAAGATGTTATGCTAGAATTAACAGAAAGGAATATTCTTCAAAATATTCGTAGGATTGGGTACAATGTGATTATCCAAATACAAGAAATTGGTAAAATTATGGACTATCTGATGAATGAAAAATGATGCAGTTAAATAAAAAGAATAGTCTTGCAGAAGACTAATGATATGGAATTATGTCATTTTATATTATTAAGCAAAAATCAAAAAAGCAAGTTATAAAATAGTATAATCCATTTTTGTATGTATATTTCAAGTAAAGTTTAAAATTATTTTCATGAGTTCTTAACCTGTTTTATGCCATGAAGTCTTATGAAGCTTATGTACTTCTAAAATTAATGTTTTAAAATGCATAAAAAATAACATAACAAAAGAAGCTAATTATATTTAAATGCTGCTATGTTTTGAATGTGTTTCCTACAAAATTCAAGTGTTGCCAATGCGATAATATTAAGAGGTGGGGCCTCTATAAGGTGATTAGGCTGTGAGAGCTCCTCCCTCATGAATGGGATTAAGGCGTTTATCAAAGAGGCTTCATGCAGCATTTGGTTCTCTTTCCCTTCTGCCTTCAGCCATGTGAGGACACAGTGACCTTCCCCTCCTGAGGATGCAGCCCTCACCAGACAACTGAACGTGCTGATGCTTTGATATTGGACTTCCCAGACTGCAGAACTGTTAGCAATTTCTGCTCTTTACTAATTACCCCATAGGTGGTGTTCTATTATAGCAGTACAAATGAACTAAGACAAATGGAGTTACAAAATGTTATAAGACAAATTTTTAATATAATTATATACATGCTTCTTAATTATCACACCAAATGAGAATACACTTAAGTACAGGTATACTAAAGTTCAATTTCATCTTTAAGGACAAATCAGTGTGAAGGCCATTATGACTCAGCTCGAATAAGAACGTTAAACTGTAGAGTTAGAGTGGTCTTTACCAAGGAAACACTTGTTCGTGCTGAACATCCAGTCAGTTTTGATTTCTTTTTGATTGTTAAAAGTGGCAAAAATAGAAATTTACAAAGACCTACTTTTGTAAGTAGAATAAATTGCTTCCATATCTTCCTTTACGAGATGAAAATAGGCTCTCTTAAGAAACACTAGAATTCTTCAAGTCTCTTTTTTCTTTCCAGATCTTTGATTTTTTTCCTTATATGTTAGTTTTTTAAAAACTATGATATTATTTACAGACCGCGAAAAGCACAATCTTAAGGTATAGTTCCATGAGTTGTGGCTAATGCCTAATCCTAATTCCTTCCCCTAGATCATTTTCTGATTTCTGTTCCTGTAGATGACTTTTGCTTGTTTTCAGCTTTTCACAGATGGAGTCATAGAGTATGTGCTCTTCAGTATCTGGCTTTCCTTAAGCTTATTACTTTTAAGCTCCCTTTATGTTATTGTATGTAACAATTGTTCATTTGTTTAATTGCCAAGAAGTATTTTATTATAAACAAATTATTTATTCTCCTGTTGATGGACTTTTAGGCTATTTCTCGTGCATGGTTAGTATGAAGAAAGCTGCCATTATCATTCTTGTTTAAGTCTTTTTTGTAGAACTACATTTCAATTTTGAGTAAATTGGGTAAATATTTAGGAGTAACATTGCTGGGTTACAGGACACATTTATATTTAACTTTAATACAAACTGCCAGTTTTTAAAAAACAGTTGTGCATGTTTTTTTTTTCTCTTTCACTTTTTTTTGATTAGTCTTGCTATGTACTATGGTTAATCGATTTAACTATTCACTTTAAGAAAAAATATTTTGGCTTTGTTCATTTTTCCTATAACTTGTCTATTTCTAATTTTATTTATTTCTGCTATGATCTTTATAATTTTTCCCTTCTGTTTACTTTAGGTTTTAAGTGCCATTGCTTTCTACTTTCTTTCACTTTAAGGTGGAATTCTAGATGATTAATTTAAAAACTTTTAAACAAATATAAGCGTTAAAGGTATAATTTTTCCTCTAAGCACTGCTTTAGGGGCATCCCATACATTTTAATATGTTAGATTTACATTATTGTTCAATTTGAAATATCTTCTAATTTCCCTTATGATTTTGTCCTTGATTCATGGATAGTTTAGAAGTATCATGCGCTATTTCTAAGTATTTGGGGGAATTTCTAGATTTTAAAAATTGATTTCAAATTAAGTGCATTGTGGTCACAGAACATACTTTGATTTCACTCCTTAGAAATTTATTAATATTTGTTTTTCTCATTTGTTCTCTTCCTCATTTGTTCTCTTTTCGCTCTTACATGTCCTTTTAGAGTTAACCTAGTTTTTTTTATACCATTTAATCTCTTCCATTAACATTTTAGCTATATCACTGTATTTATCTCCTATTACTATTAAAACAGAAATGGCTTAAAACAACACAAATTTATTATCTTATAATTATGGAGGTCAGCAGTTTAAAATGAGTCTTACAGGGCTAAAACAAAGGTGTCAGAAGGATGGCTGCATTTCGTTTGCAGCCTCTAAGGGAGAATCTCTTCAATTCCTTTTCCAGTTTCTTGAGGCTGCCCATATTTCTTGGCTCATGCCGTCTTCCATCTTCAAAATGAGAATACATTACAGTATCCCCCCTTATCCACAGGGGATATATTGCAAGACCCCCAAATCCTATATACATGTCACTGTGTTTTCCCCTATACATGCACACCTATGATAAAGTTTAATTTATAAATTAGGCACAATAAAAGATTAGCAACAATAATAATAAAATAGAACAATTATAACAATATGTCAGCTTCACTACTCTTGCGTTTTTGGGCCATTATTAAGTAAAACAAGGCTTATTTAAATACAAATACTGTGACACTGCAACAGTTGATCTGATATCCAAGACAGCTACTAAGTAACTAATGGGTGGCTAGTGTTTACAACTGATATACTGGACAAAGGGATGATTCACATCCTGGGTGGGACAAAATGGGATATTGTGGGATTTCATCATGGTACTCAGAATGGTGTGCAATTTAAAACTTACAATTTGGAATTTTCTATTTACTATTTTTGAACCTCAGTTGACTACGGGTAATTGAAACCACAGAAAATGAAACCATGGATAAGGGAGGACTACTGTAATTTGTCTTTGTCTTTGGTGGGGGTGGGTGGGTTGTATTTTCCTTATCTTTGGTTTTCAGCAATTTGAATGTGATGTATCGATGTGAGGATTTTTTTGTGTATATATTTTTGGGTTGTGTTGAATTTCTTTGGTTCTGCGCATTTGGAAATTTAGAAAAAATTTGGAAAAAATGTCATTGTTTCTTTAAATTTTTCTCTGTTACAGGTTCTCTCTGTTTACTTTCTTAAATTCCAATTTCACATATGTTAGAGTACTCAATATTGTCCCACAGGTCACTGAGGCTTTGTTCATTTTTTTTTTTTTTTTTTGAGATGGAGTTTTGCTCTTGTTGCCCAGGCTGGAGTGCAATGGTGCGATCTTGGCTCACCACAACGTCCACCTTCTGGGTTCAAGCAATTCTCCTGCATCAGCCTCCCAAGTAGCTGGGATTACAGGCATGCACCACCACACCTGGCTAATTTTGTATTTTTTAGTAGAGACGGGGTTTCTCCATGTTGGTCAGGCTGGTCTCGAACTCCCAACCTCAGTTGATCCACCTGCCTCGGCCTCCCAAAGTGCTGGGATTACAGGCATGAGCCACCGCGCCTGGTGGCTCTGTTAATTTATTTAGTCTATTTTCTCTCTGAGTGTCAGTTTCCTTAGTTTCCTTTTATTTGTCTTCAAGTTCACTAATCTCTTCTTCGGTGTCCAATCTGCTTTTAAGTCCATGCAATAAAAATTTTATTTCAGACATTTTATTTTTCAGTTCTAGAAATTCCATTTGTTTGTTTTAAGTAGTTTCAATGTCTCAGCTGAGATTTGTGATCTGTTCAGTCATTTGTCTGCCTTTTCTTTTACATCCTTGAATGTATTTACAAAATTAAAAAAAAAGTTTTTATCTGTTAAATCTAATAGCAATGTCATCTCTGGGGCTATTTATAGTGATTTTTTTCACTCCAGATTATGAGCCACACTTTGTTGCTTTTTCATATGTCTAGTATTTTTACTGGCATGCTGGATGTCATAGATGCCAAGCTGTTGATAGTTTAAATTATGTTCTTTACCTCTAAAAATATTGTGTTTTTTTTTCCTGCCAAGCAGTTAATTTAAGGTGTGCAGTTTAATTTAGAACAACACCATTCTAGAAGTGTGAATTTTCTTAGGTCTTAAGTGAACGCCCAGAGTGTTTATCATGAGATCTCTATTTGCCTGGTCAGTAGTCCATTTCCCATCATGGTGAAACCTCCAGATTAGAGTCAGTACCCAAGTGGCTCTTTTATACTAGGCTTCTTGGAATCTTTCCCTGAGCATGCACAACTTAGTTTTTATCCAAGATTTATTGCAATTGACCCCATGCAAATTTCTAGGGATCCTTCATTGTCCATCTTTTCCTGACCTACAAATTCCAGTTGCCTCAGTATCCCCAAACATTGAGATTGTGTCTGTTGTCCAGTGAGAACACTGATTTCTGTTTTGGCTTCACTTTAATGTGCTGCACTTTGGAAAAGTGCTTCCAGGCAGAAAACCAGGGTGGATGTGGAGCTTACCTCATGAGTTTCCCTTATCTCATGGATCACAGCCTTCTGATATGTGTGGCCAATGGCTGGAAATAATTGCCTCGTACACTTTGTGAAGCTTAATGGTTGTTTACCATGCAGAGTACACCTGATCTCCATTACTCTATGGTGGCCCAAACTGGAAGTCTTTCATCAGAGCTTTTGAGTAAAGTTCCAGTGATGAGAACATTCTACTTCACTGCTTGGTGGCTAAATGTGGTTAATTTTGTGTGTCAAATTGCCTGGGACATGGGGTACCCAGATTAAACATTATTTCTGGGTGTGTCTGTGAGAGTGTTTCTAGATGAGATTAGCATGCGAATTGGTGGACTAAGTAAAGCAGACAGCCCCCTTCAATGTTGGGAGGCATCATCTAATCCATTGAAAACCTGAATACAACAAACGGGCAGAGGAAGGGGAAATTCGCTCCCTCTGCCTAACCTCATGAGCTGAGACATTGGTCTTCTTCTGTCCTCGACTGGGACTTACATCATCATCCCTCTGGTTCTCAGAACTGTACCACTGGCCTTCCTGGGTCTCCAGCTGGCAGACAGCAGATTATGGGACTCTGCAGCCTCCATAATTACATGAGCCAATTCCTTATAATACATTTCACATACATATTGTATATATGTAACATATGGTTATAATGTATACACACATATATAATGTATATGTAACTATTTATAACTCTATATATTTATATATAACTATAACCATAACTGCATATGTATTTCCTATCACTTCTGTTTCTCTGGAGAACCCTGACTAATACACTAAACCACCACTAGGTGGTTTGAATAAAATAGATTTGAATAAAATAGGCTACTATGTCACATGTAATATATCATATATCTATAGACAGACACTATTATTACATGTGATTTTGTTATAGGTCTAATAATACAATTTCAAAATATTGGTGAGTGTCAGTGATGCACTAAGATATTTGCAGCAACTGTGATGTGGTATGAAAATGTATGATTTTTATTGATTATAAAGTAACAGTCTTTGCTATTATTTCTGTGGTTCATAATTTCTATTCAAATTGGCTTCAAGTTCATTGATGCTTTCTTTTTTTTTTTTTTTCTTTTTTTTTTTTGAGATGGAGTTTTGCTCTCGTTGCCCAGGCTGGAGTGCAATGGCATGATCTTGGCTCACCACAACCCCCACCTCCCAGGTTCAAGTGATTCTCCTGCTTCAGCCTCCTGAGTAGCTGGGATTACAGGCATGCGCCACAACGCCCAGCTAATTTTGTATTTTTAGTAGAGACAGGGTTTCTCCATGTTGGTCAGGCTGGTCTCGAACTCCCGACCTCAGGTGATCAGCCCACCTCGGGCTCCCAAAGTGCTGGAATTACAGGCGTGAGCCACCTCGCCCGGCCCGCCATTGATGCTTTCTTCTTCAGTGTTAAATTTGTTATTAAGCCTATCCAGTGATTTTTTTCATTTCATATATTGCATTTTTTAGTTTTAGAAGTTCCATTTGGTTCTTTTTTTTAAGTCTCCATTTCTGTTAAGTTTCCCTCTCTTCCAATGCTATTGTGGTTTGTTGTCTGCATTGATATTTAAGGGAAATGCAAAATTTCAGTAAGAATATAAAGACGTATTTTTCCTTTCCAAATTCGTGGGGCACCGGGATATAAAATGTTAATAGTGGTTACATCTGGGTGATGATTATGAGAGGTTCTTATTTCCTTCTTTGTTCCTTTCTGTTTTTCTAATATTTCTTCAATGAGCACTTATTACTTTGTAATTGCCAAGACTAAATATAACTTAAAATATATCAACATCCAAGTAATATGTAATAAAATATAATATTCTTCTAAACAATATTATGTAAATATTAAAAAGATGTTGCATGATTTTGTATTCATTATATTCCAGTTAAGGTAAAATGATTAAAAGACATGTTAAACTGATGGTAATTTTTCTTAAAGGTGGAAAACTAGAAAAAGTCAATATGATTAAGTATCATATCAATATTTATTATAACTTTTCTAAATTTTAACATGTTTGATATTCCATCAATGAATCTATTTAATATATTAAAAAATCACTGGTTTTTCAGAATGAAAATGTGTATGAATAGTGTAACTGTAAGTACTTTATGATGTGTCTCTATGCCTTATTAGTCTAATGCATTTTATTTTGCAGTGTTGAGATTTGTAATAATTATGTCTTGTCATTGAGAGGAGATTTTTGACTATTCATTACAATTAACTATAAGTGTCTAACCGGATTATTTAAAAGTAGGAGTTACTTCATGGTAGTAGATTAAGATCTTGGTAAGTGAGTATTTTTTCCTTCAGGACATTTATTAAATCACCATTATGTGGACTAAGGTCATAAGCCAGTAACAGTTAACTTCCAAGTTACACATTGTCAAAAGAGCCACTATTACTTAAAATAAAATAATCCCACTTTGCTTTAGCTGTGTTTTAAATTCTGCCGATCCTGGGCTGGGCAGATAAGATAGATACTGAAGGAGGCAGAATTCTAGATAGACAGTGAACTCTATTTAAAAACTGACCTATTTAAAAATGCAAAAACCAATGACAGGTGAATGTAAAATGATCCCTTCAGCAGCAGGATTCCAATAAAAAGCACAAAATCATTTCTCTAAAGTTGAACCCTATTACCACTTGGGTTCTGGGGCAGCTTGTAGTACTCCAGGGCCAGCTCATGTGCCCCAATCATCACCCTAAATAGAGGAAAAGGTGGCTCCGCCCTGGGTCTCACCTCTCCTGTGCCTCACTGTCCTGTCTCTGGGCGGTGATGTTCCACAGTACATCACTAAGAGACACAGCTACACCCCCCCAGGCCCATTAGTCTGTTTATTTTACACATCTGGTGCACACATTCATTTCTTGATGTGAGGAAGAAGGCTTCCGTCTTCAGCCAGGGCCCAGTGATTTGTAGGACATTCAGTATTAATTGCTCACTATTTTGGGAACTTCACATATCAATTTGACTGTGCCATACAGTGTGATCATTCACTATGAATGTGTTTGAAATATTTCCTTGCAGTGGCAACTGCTAAAATGAACAGATATTCCTTTTTATCATAAAATGAATTATAGCCTAGATCTGTAGGCTTGAAAGAGGGTAGGTGGAGTCACTGACATAAATAAGAAAGGAAAGAGGGATTTTCATTTGTTGAAGTTAGTTTTAATTTTTTAAATTTTTGTGGGTACATAGTAGGTGTATATATTCGTGGGGTACGTGGGATGTTTTGATGCAGGCATGCAATGTGAAATAATCACATCTCAGAGAATGGGGTAGCCATCCCCTCAAGCATTTGTCCTTTCTATTACAAACAATCCAATTACACGTTTGGTTATTTTAAAATGTACAATTAAATCATTATTGATTATAGTCACCCTGTTGTCTGATAAAATAGCATGTCTCATTTATGCTTTCTATTTTTTTGGTACACATCATTTGTTGAAGTTTGCTTGAAACACCCAGCAACTGTTGGTGTGATTGTAGGGACCACAGATGCTTGGTGTCTTCTACGATGGAGATGTGTCAAGTCCTCGGAAACACCATTCTGTTGTGGTTGGCTCACTGAGTGTGTTGAGGCAAGTGCCTGCAGCTTGCCGATCTAGGCTTCTCTCCCGGGGAGGCCCAGGACAATCAGGAAGTCTGGGCGATTCCTGGGGTTTCAAGTCACTTATGTCACAAACAGCAGAAGCTGCTTCTGTGGTGTATTCCTCTCTACTGTACTCCTGTCACAAGAACTTTCCAGAACTTATGTCAGTGCACAGATTTCCAGAATCCCTTGTGGACCCCTCGCCTATGTTTCTTTTCTCCCTGTTGGCCTCACAACCCAGGCCACCTCCTCATTCTAGGTTCGCCACAAAAGAGGGTATCCTGTCTCCTAATCTGAATTATTCAGACTCCCCTTTTTTTGATTAAAAAGTTGTTTTGCTAATAAGCATAGAGAAATAGATAGCTACTGTATAAGATAACAAACAGGGAACTTGTAAGAAATCTAAAAAGCGGGGAGTAATGGGCCTCCTTGTCCTGGTCTACACAGAAATGAAGAGAAAGTGGGGCAGGCTATTTCTTAGCTCTTGTCTGCTTTTTTATGATGTGTTTCTTCTCTTCTGAGTCATTTCTGGACTCAGAGGAGTACCCCTTCCCTTTCGTTCTTCAGGTCTAGTGAGTCCTGAGTTTTCCCTATTGCATATAACAGAGTTTATCAAGCCATGTGAGTGTAGGAACCATTTGAAGCACTTGGTAAAAATATGGATCAAATGGCCCCATCCACGATGTAGAAAGTCAAAGTCTCCAGAGGAGAGACCCTGATTTTTGGTTTGAAGTAACTTTCAGGTAATTTATATTATTAGACAAACTTGGGATATACTGTATAGGCCTGTCTATAGGATCCAGAAAAAGTCCCTCTCTAATTTTTTTTTGCAAAGATATCCAAATGTCAAACTGGATTACAGACTATTAACAAGAATATGAAAAAATCCTGTAGTGTTATTATTCAACGTCGACACACACCCATATTGTGGATTTTTTTCTTTTTCAAAAAAATCCAATTTTCTATTTACTGGTGGGCCCTACGGTAAGTGGGATAATGGTGAGGTTGCACCAGAATGCAAATGAGGTTTCTTTCTAGTTCGGAGGAAATGCTAGACTCATTATTTCTGCTCACAGCTTGCAACCTTCCTCAAAAGTTCTGGAAGCCATAAATGTGTGTCCCTGAGGCTTTTGGTCAGCAAAAAGGCATGAGGGTGTGTGTCTCATAAAAGAGCATACCTGGTGTGATCTCAGCCTTGTATGTGAAAATTCACAGGAATCTCTGTGGGAATATAACTCTAACTGTAACCCCTGGGCTTAAGTGATCCTCCTGCTTTAGCCTCCTGAGTAGTTGTCCAGGAGTTTGAGGCTGCAGTGAACTATGATCATGCCCCTGCACTCCAGCCTGGGCAACAGAGCAAGACCCTGTCTCTAAATAAATAAATAAACAAACAAATAAATAACCAACTCTAACCAGTGGTGAAGAATAGATTTGATTTTCAGTCTTCACAGTTCAGTCTTGATTAATTTGTATTGATATTTTGCAAAAAAAAAAACAGGCATTATCTTTATTTTAATAACTAATACAAATTTTTAAAAAAGACTTACATTTGCCTTTCTCAGTATTAGTGGGTTAAAATTTCTCCATTTTGTAGAATCCAACATAGCCATTTGCAATTGATAACAGAGCACAGCTATGAGCATCCCTCAGCAAGCTGAATTTGCCTGTGTGTTTTGTTCTTTTGGACCACGCAGGCATGGTTAGATTTCCTGGGACTCTGCTTTCCTGTGTCTTTTCCATAAGCCGGGCAGAGCCCTTGCTCCTCAGGAGGGCCATTCAGGAGGGCTGGGGGCCTGCCCAAGTAGGGCTGCAGGACTGGCCTGCTTTGAAGCAACCCATGCATATTAAAAAAAACAAAAACCACCAAACTGCAAATGAAAACCATCTTCCGCTATCTAGTGCAAATAACAAAGTGCTCTTTTAATTGTAGCTGTTGCTGTAATTTAAATGGAAAGTATTTTACATCCATTTTTCTCAAACTGCTCTGATCACAGTAGTTTTCATTTTGTCTTAATGTAGCAAACATATCTGACTACTTAATTTTGCTCCTTTTTATAATATAGCACTTTACATGTAAGCATTCCAGGCTGCTCTTGTGTATTTCCAAAGCAGAAATAGACTGACTAAACCTCCTTTAGTTATGCTGTGACTTTTAAAAATTAAACTGTACTTCCAAATGACTTACTTCATTCAACTCGAAATGAAATAATGGCTTTAGATGTCTCCTGTATTTTAAATTTAGATGGAAATTAAATTCAACATAAACCACATTGGGTATATAATAGTCAAATATCATTTTAAGAGATTATTATTTGAATGGATAATTTTCTCAGGGGCTACTATTTGTAGCTAAGTGAGCAACAGTGGGTTTTGCCCGTCCTTATTAATGCATAGGTAGCTTTTCTTGTTTTCACAACCATAAATAAAAATCTTTTTCCAAAGAGAGAGACAGATAGGGAGAAAAGTTCCCACTGGAGTATTGTACTTTTCTCAGGGGATGGATACATTTATCCATATGTTGTCTTAAAATAATAGCATGTGCATTGTCCATATAGTGGCTGTTGATGGAATGATTTTAAACTCCTTTTGAGGTAATAATTTTTTCTGTAAACTTTTTGTGTCAGGCTTAGCAGTGTTATTGGTAGGTCCTTAAATGATCATAGACTTTGTCCTCAGTAAGGGGTGGTGAAAATATCATCTAGGAAACAATATTGGAGGGGAGGCCTGGCCTTGTTGTTAGCCTCTTCAACTTGATGCAGTCCTCTTCAAATTACTCTCACCCACACCGTCCCTAAGGTCTGGGCCAAGATATCTAACGCGTTTTGGGGAAAATCTGTTGAAAAGGCTTAGTACTTCCCATGTAAACACCACTCAGTCATTTCATTTTATAGCTTTTGTTATAACCTTAAGATGCTCTATTATGACTGTTTCTATTTTAATTAAAATTTATTTAATGCTTACAAAGTATAATTAAGAGCAGTTTGCATTGTTGGACACTGATGAAATATTATCTAAGAAAAAATCTTGGAGGGGAGGCCTGGCCTTGTTGTTAACCTCTTCTACTTGATGTAGTCCTCTTACACTAGAAGGCCTGGACTTTTATCATTTTTCTGGGCTCCTTGTGAATTTGGGGAAGTTACTTCACATTTTCAGGGTTATGCCATTCTTATTGGAAAAATGAAGATGATACTGCTTACTTTATCCATTATGAACTTTGTTTTTTTCCCCTGTACATTGAAGTAGCTCACCTTCTCAACTTATCTTTCCTCCACTGTGTTCTACCATACAGGATTATTTTAAAGATATGAAATGACAAGTGTAAAAGTATCTTTAAACCATCTATAGAATGCAAAGCATTACTTTGAATATATTTGACATAGATTGTTGCCAAATTTTTCCAAGGTAGGATTCTGACATGAAAGGTGGAGAAGCAGCTATTTTTATAACTCTTGAAAATTAAGCTCCACCTTTTTCAAAGAGGGGAAAATACTCATTAAAATCAATTAGGACCTGGGTATTTAAGAAAATTCCTCAATGTTTGGTTTTTAAAATGGGTCCCCAAGGGGATTTGGCCGATAGGGAGTTTATAGCAAAGGCTTTAGTCTGTAGCATGGCTTAACTTTTTCTGGATTTCATAAAAAAATTGCTAAGCAGCTAACAAATTTCCTGAACTGTTTGGATGCAGATTTTGCCCACATTCTAGGGTGTAAGATGCCTATTTTTATAAAGCAGGACATAAAGGAGATAAATAAAATATCATTCCACTAAGGTTTGTTTTTTCCCTTTTATCCTCTCCAGCTCTTTCCAAGGGTGTTGAAATCTGCCGAGATTTATTTTGATGAAGGTAAGTTGCTTCTAGTTATCAGGCAGTAAAGATGTTCTGTTATTGTTTACTATTTTGGCAGCTCTGAAAGGTGCCATCTGAACACCGTGGTTATAAGGCAGAAATAATGAAAAGCCATTTTTTGCTAGTAATGTCCAAAGCTTTGATTTACCTCTTCAGAAAGCAAAAGATTTATTACTGACACCTAAGGTGGTTTTGAAAGATAACAGGTCATGGAGCCATAACTGTGAGAGACTTTTGAGATTTGATCTGGGAGCACTGGGTTAGTATAAGGAGGAGAATTTTCAGAGATGTAGACCATGGCTACTCTGGGGGCGCCTACAGAGACATGACCACCAGGTATTGAGGTCCTGGCCAAGAAGTGGATGTGTGGATTAAGGTCATAACCTTGAGTTGCTCTTCCAAAAATGCCTGTGTTGTTAAATGTGGTATATGCACTGCAGAGGCAGTCAGTGGCTTGATTATACCTATATAGAACTGAAAACCCTGCACTAGCAACAGTGGAATCTACCTAGCCACTTATGTGATCTTGAGCAAGTTCTCTGCACTTTCTGGAGCCCATCTGTATTAGTCCGTTCTCATACTGTTATAAAGAGCTATCTGAGATTGGGTAATTTATAAAGAAAAGAGGTTTAATTGACTCACAGTTCCACAGGCTGTGTACAGGAGGCATGGCTGGGGAGGCCTCAGGAAACTTACAATCATGGCAGAAGCAAGCACGCCTTCACATGGTGGCAGGAGAGAGAGAGTGAAGGGGGAAGTGCTCCACACTTTTAAACAATCAGATCTCGTGAGAACTCACTCACTATCATGACAACAGCAAGGGGGAAATCTGCCCTCATGATCTAATCACTTCCTACCAGGTCCCTCCCCCAACATTGGGAATTATAATTTGACATGAGATTTGGATGGGGGCACAGAGCCAAACTATATCACCATGTGATGGATCAGTGACCACTGAGATGAAATTCCTCAGATGAATTCATTTTATATAAATATGCATTAATTGACCCTCTAGACATTAGGGATCTAAACAGGCTCAGTTCTTGTGATGGTGTGGTTATGAAAGGGAATATACAAAGCAGTGAATATAGTAACAGACATATTGAGGAATGGATATAGCATGAGGGACACACAGGTTAGGAAGCCATTTTATTTAAGGGTAGAAGGACCAGCAGAGGAAGTTAAAGAGATTACTTTTGAACTTAGTCTTGAATGATCTGTCCAGGAAAAAAAAGGCCAACAGGGAAACAAAGGTGTTCTGTGTAAATGGTCAGATAGTAAATATTTTTGGCTTTGCAGGCCATATAATCTCTATTGCAACTGCTATACCCTTACATTGTAGCATGCAAGCAGCAATAGTAAATGACTGGGCATGGCTGTGTTTCAATAAAACTTTATTTAAAAAACAGGCAGAGGGCCAGATTTGGCCTATGGTTTTTCATTTGTTGACTCCTTCTGTAGAAAGACAATATAAAAAGATGAACTTTATCCAGTATTAAGATGATATCATTGTAGTACTTTTTTCAACTTTAGAGTTTAATACACATGAGTTCACAGATTTACATATGTGTGTGTATAAACCTGAGGGAGTGCATCAAAATAAACTGTTCAGATCCCTACAGCACTTACAATTTCCAGGCATGCTGGCCTGGCTTCCACCTCCCACACTTACACCTCATTGCCTGAAGGTTTTCTCTGGCTACCAGAGCTGTGAGGCCCTGCATGGGGAGGAGGACAGGCCCACTGCAGAACCCAGATGACTCTCCCCTCCTTATGTTATCAACCAATGATTGACAGTACTTGGTAGATAATTATCACAGCTACTTTACCCCATGGGATAGTCTCAGCTTGAGCTGAGATTAAATGGAATGTCTCGAGCTCCTCAGTGGGATTAAGGTCCCATTGCCTGCAGTTGTCACCTGCTCCACAACACACTCCTTATTGGCTTCTTTCCTTCTCTGTCTGATGTGCCCCTTCCCCTGCAAGGCTATGGGCACCTCCCAAATCACTTAATTGTACCCAAATCCTTGTATTAGCATTTGCTTCTGGAGGAATGAAAACCGAGACAGTATTTTGGATCTGGAGGACATAAAATAAACTCTACATGTGAATACTTAGGAACTCCTGATTCAGAAATGTTTCAGAAAACCTTTCTTTAAGTAGGGCAGCATTCCCTCTGTGGAACTGATTGTGGAGGATTTTATCTGGGTGCAGAGGCCTTATAATGGAAAACATTTTTCTTAACTATTGACAGACTTGCCTACTTTTTGGTGAGGTTCTATAGCAGAAGCCACTCGTCCTCCCTGACTCTCCCTGTTGCTGCAAATGGCATCCACCTGGCCTCACCTCAGGACCTGCATCTTTCTCTTTTCCTCTCACTTTTGGAGGTGCTAGGCTGGGCACAGATGCAACCTGGACATGCTGAGTTATCAGGGTTCAGGGAAGTTTGGAGAAATGAGCTCCCTGAGATTGACTGGAGGCAGAGATAGTGTATTAATCTGTTCTCACGCTGCTATAAAGAACTGCCCAAGACTGGGTAATTTATAAAGGAAAGAGATTTAATTGACTCACAGTTCTGTATGGCTGGGGTGGGGTGCCTCAGGAAACTGACAATCATGATGGAAGGGGAAGCAAACACTTTCTTCTTCACATGGCGGCAGGAGAGAGAAATGCAGAGCCAAGGGGGGAAAATCCCCTTATACAACCATCAGATCTCATGAGAACTCACTATCACTATCATGAGAACAGCATGGGGGAAACTGCCTCATGATCTAATTACCTCCCATGAGGTCCCTTCCCAAACACTTGGGGATTACAATTTTGATTACAATTCAAGACAAGATTTGGGTGGGGATACAGAGCCAGACTATATCAGATGGGATTGCAGGAGATAAGTCTGGATAGATTGGAAAGGAGGATGTTGTCTGGCTATGAAGGGCCCTGAGTGACTGGCTGAAGAATTTGGATTTCATTTTGTGTTTAGAGTTGAGCCACGGACAATTTTTAAGAAAGAGTGGTGACAGTGTTCAATAACATTCAATAAGTACTTACCACCTACAATGGACTGGGAATTGTGGACTGTACAGCAGGCTGTGCAGGAAGTTGCTGAGATTCACCTCCTTTAGGAAACTTTTTCTGATTCCCTGTCTTGTCTGTACCCCACTATTCCTTCTAATATAGCACCTCTAGCACTTTAGTGCATTTATGAAATTACTGCCTGTCTCTACCCCTGCTGCCTGTTTTATTCACCCCACATCAAGCTTTGTGTTGTGTATAGTTAGCCACAGTCAAAGGTCTTCTCCCCAGTTTTTTCTAAAACTGACATTAGGCCAATAAGCACATTGAGCTCAGCCTTCAGGGGGGAGAAGTCATAATCCGCCACCATGATTCTTGAGAAGGATGGTCCTCTTAACCAAAGAACATTGAACATCTTTATGCTGATGCCCAAGAGCCTCAGAGAAATGTAAGCACTATTCAGTGGAACTATTCTTGCCTTCCTCCACGAGATAAATGGCTGAGTCACCGTTCTACCCTCTGGTCTAGTGATTCCCAATCTTCTTTGAGTAAGAGGGACTCCATGAAATACTTCACTGCGAAAATTCTCAAACACACACAAAAGTATTAATAGTGAAAATAGTAATAATGAACCCTTATAGACACTTTACTCAGATTCAACATTTATCTAGAATTTTTCATTCTTGTTTCCTCTATTTGTTTTCCAGCCATCATCTCTTCTTTTAAGTTAAATGTACATAGTTTTGGTGGAGACACTGAATTTGAACATGTGTTCTATTCTTAGAGTGCTGGTTCTAGTCTTTGAAGATTTGGCTTGAAGGTTAAAGCATCGTGAAAAATAAAACTACATGTGTAAACCTGCAGTCTTTTTACCCCTTACAGCTTTGACCTTATTACCCTGAGCAATAAGTCTAACCCTTTCTCCTCTGTGTATTGAAACTAAAGAGTAAGTAGTTGATTCCCACTGTTCTTCCCACAAATTTTCAGCAGGGGTAGGGCCAATTCACTCCTTGTTTTAGGCTTAAAACTCCCCCTGAAGTGCAGGGATGAAGGCTGGTGTGTAACTGAAGTCGCTGGATATTGTGTGCATAAGGTGGGAGAGTGAGTTGAATTTCATGGGCTTTTCTGAAGCTTTCTGTCTTAACTAAAAACGTTGGCATTTTCTGGGAAGTTGGCTGTATGCTTATTGAGAAAGAGAGACTTCTCTTCAGTACAGTGTGACATTTCTACAAAAATCAATGATTTAGAAACAGGTATCTGAAATGAAATGTGCAACTTCACTTTCCATTTGTTGGAAATCCTGCTGGGCTGGTTTTGAAATCTTCATACATGTGCGGTATACCTTTAGGGGGTGAAAATTATATTGACTCTGCACTTTGGAACATGTAACAAATATCTTTTGCAATGTGGCAAAAAAATAAAGCAACATCCTAATCCTATATTTCCAAATTGGTTTTGTGCTAGTTATTTAATTTATTGTTTACTTTTGGTACTAGTGTTTGTTTTTTCCTTTTATCTTGGAAGCTTTTTATCTTTATTAGACTCAGTTACCTAATCCAGTAGAAGGGATGGTAATGAACGTGGCACACTGCTACCCTATCCATGTGTCAAGTTGAAACCTGCTATTTGATTATCAGAAGTAGTGAAGCTTATAGGAGCATGATGATGTTTTAAATTTGATTTTTTTTTGAAAATTAAAGAAGCCAGGTACTAAATATCAACACAATGAAGAAGGAGAGGCTCAACCCACTTTGAAATCCAGCCCCCTTCCCCACCAAGGTGCTCAAGAATTTCTGCATCTTCTTTAAAGTCCTTAAAAGGATTAACTTCTAAAGGGACTGATAAAGGAGGAGAGAAAAATAAGAAAGTATAAAAAGACTCTAATAAAAACTCAATACAGGGCTAGCACTTAATTCCATCTCACAATAACAAGAAGAAAGCATAATGGAGATTGAGGAGCAGGGCCATTTACATAATAACTTCCTAGCAACAGCTGTAATGAACAAATACGGGCAGATGAGTCAATTACCTGAGACACTACCTTACATCAGAGCTTAGAGAAAAGGGAAAAAGGAAAGAAACAATTAAATAGCTGAGATTCCCTGAATTTGGGTTATATCATATGTAGTTTCAGACCTAATTGCGTAAAACTAATTAGGCCAAAGAGAATCCACCTGATGAGACAAATATTGTCACCATCCAGGGGCAGGCAGGGGTGAATGGGTGCTTACCTTTCCTGTTAACGGGTGGGCTTGGGCTGGTACCTGTGAATATTCTGGCTTGGCTTGAACATATTTAACGTCAAAATCATCCTCATCCTCCTTCTCCTAATCACCATCACTGCTGTCATCTGTTGAGTGCTCCCTAACTCTCCTACATAATATCTCCTTCAACCTGCATAATATTCCTGTCAAAGTAGATAAGATCATCTCCATGTTACAGATGAGGAATCTGAGGCTGAGAGCAGGAAAATTACCCAAAATCTAATGGTTAATAATTGAAGTGATGATAGTTCATTTTTATTGAGCACGTGGCGGGCACCACGCTAAGTGCTTTGCATGGATTGTCTGAGGTTACTACACTCACTGCAGATGAGGAAACAGAGAGGCAGGGAAGTCAGGTCACCTGCCCAAGACCACACAGCTTCTGAGAGCAAGAACCAGAACTTGAATTCAGGTGGTTGTGTCAGAAGGTGCGAGAATTAGGATTCAAACCTAAATATACTTAATGCAAAGCCCATGCTGGTACCATTGCAACTCCCTGTGGCCATGGGCACTTGCAGGGCAGAGGCAGCCATGCCAGCCAAGGATCGTGTGACTTGTGTTTCTTTACACACACTTCATGGATGTAACAAAAGTATGGTAGTCACACTGTGCTTCTGTCAATTGAATAAGGTGATTCTGAGGCACAGTCATGGAGGATTTGCCTGTATGAGTGTGCATTTGTGTACATATGTGTGTGCGTGCTTCCTTTTCCTGCAGTACTTCAACTGGACAGGATTGCATGCTCCAGAACTTTCTTTCAATATTCCCTTCACTTAGGGAATCTTTGCCCCATTCAGATAACAGACTGCAATCTGGGAAAATACTTCATGCCGCAGCATTAACACCAAAGAATGTATCAAAGGCTTCTCTTTTCTAGAATGGCACACTAACATCTTTTATTAGGTGCAGATGTTTTCTGCGCTTTAAACAAAATGAGCGACTACGTGTAGAAATTCAGCCTCCTTGACAGGGAGTTGGAGGTCTCCTCAGGTGCATTGTGTATGTATGTATGGTGGGACTGAGTGAGGGGGGCTCAGAAAGGATTTTTTTTTTGGGAAAGAGAGAGACGCTTCTTTGCTTCTGAAACTGTCAAACAGACCCAGGTTTCTCGTTCCACCTACATTGTGATCCCCAGGCCTCATCCTTCCTCCCTCTGGGCTAGCAGGAAGATTTAAGGAGGGGCATGGATCTGGGGGAGACGTAGCCGGAGGAAAGTGGGTCAGTAGGCTGAGAGGCAGGGGACGCATCTCGATTCCATTTCCTGGATTGTGCCCTTTGTCAGACTTGCCTACAGACAGAGGGCCTGTGTGTTCCAATTTTGCAGAATTACCTTCCCTGGTTGGAACCCAATCCCCCAACCTCAAGCTCTGCAGACATCTTCCCTGATCAATGTCCTGTCCTCTTTTCTCTGTCAAGTTGTTCCTCCTTCCCGAGCTCTATTGTGATTTGGGGCACCTGAGGAATTAACTATTTCTCTCGTGTCTTTGCCTAACCACAGGTGAATGTCTCGACCCGCTTTTAAGCTGGCTCCGCCCTCTGGACGCGTTCTTTTAAAGGTGGGAGCTCCGACGGAGGGCCCTGATTCCGGCCTCGCTACCAGCTGGGCTGTGTGGGGGAGCGAGGCCTAATAACCCAGGGGGCGCTGGGCGGGAACGGCGTGGATCCCTCGGCCTCGCACACCTGGCTCCTAGTCCTCTCGGCCGGGCCGGTGATCCTCTGGTCGGGGGTGGGGGTGGGGGGGGCTTGCGGCAGCTCACACCTGAGGCCGTTACAAAAGGCCTGCAGCTTAACTCGCTGCAGCTCGGGGGGATGGATTGCCTACTAACTGCAGGCGCCGTGGTGCGCCGAGAAAACAGCGAAAACTGGGCCAGCGGAGGCGGGTGGGCCTCCTTGGAGGAGCGCACCTGGGGTGCGGGAGCGCCTCCTGGCAGCCTTGGCCTCGCCTCCCACGCGTGGACGCGCAGGGCCCAGGACACCGCAGCCGCCTACTCCTTTCTGCAGCCCCGGGGTCTGAAGGTAGTTACGAAGGAAATCTTTTGTAAAATGTTCCTTTTTCCTCCTCTACATTTTCTTTCTCTGTCCCTCAGTAATCCCGGTTCAGGGGTTAGCGTCCCTCACTAATCCCTGGATTTAAAAAACATTCTCCTTTTACACCCAAGCTTCAATTGGTAGAACAGAGAGACAACTGACGTCGCTTTTGTTTTGCCAGCTTTTGTTTCCGGTGCATCAGAAACTTTTTGCACCTGAGACATTATGAGATTGTGCCCCAGCCGGTTTCTAAATTATTTCTAGGTGAAAAAATTTTGCAACCTACCTTTGCAGTAAGAATTCCCCCTACCCCTCCTTTAGAGAAAGTACTTGACAGTGAATAACATCCTATATTTATAGACCAATGATTGCTACATTTCATACCGTGTAGGTTTCCTTCTGAAACCTCAATCACATTTGGTTACTGTGGTAGGGGTTTAAATGTAGCAACTAATGGGCTGTGGCAGCAGGCATTTCCCTACCTCTCCTTTTATTGAACCTTTAAGTGGCAACTGTGCTTCTCTGGGTAAGAGCAAGGCTTTGAGATTGCGTTCCATGGGTTAGCTCGGTTCTTTAGCGAAGATTCAGAGATCCTGAATTGCATCAAGAGATGCATTTGTCGGTCTGGGTTTCAGATAAAAGCATGAAATCTCACTGACTTGCTGAACATTGTGGTTTTGAATCGGGGCTTTGGAGATGAAGCTGTGAAACCTCCCAAACCAAAGTTCCTAACAGAAATCACCAGCTGTGATTTACATATTGGCTTTGCCACAAAGTTTTAGTTCGACTCTGTTTCTGTTGTTATGGTGTCTTATGAATATTTTCTGATATTTAACCCAAAGCCCTCTTGCTGTTTCCAAACTGGTTACCTGAGATAACTGAGGCACTTGTGCTGCTGTTTGGACGGGATTACTTCATGTACTTAAAGGCTGGCCATACTGCAGACTAAATACATCTGGTATCACCCTCTACTAAGTTTTTAAAAAGTCTTTGCTGAATGAAATGCAAAAAGAAAATGCAAACAATGCTTGGGCTTTCCTTTTCTTTTCCAGGCTCTCTTTACAACTCTTGCAAAGATGTCAAGACATATTTCAGTATTCCACCAGCGAGGTTACAGTTTTATTAGTGATGGCCTTGGTTCACACCATAAATGTGAATTTACCATTTTCTGTTGGCTTGACTGACCTGGTCATGGCCAGACCAAAGGAAGCTGTGTAGAGGATTCGCTCTGATGAAACATTTTTCCCCTCCCTCACAACCCCTTTCTCCTATAGAAGGCAAAACATTCTCTTTAACTGAAAATGGTGGAAAACATGTTTGTTGTTTTTCCTTTGAATGATAAAAGAGAATTAAGTCAGCTGGCAACAGGTGCAAGTTCCACCCTGTGTGTATGGAGGAGGCACCAGCTGACATGGGCGTGGGCATGTGTATTTAGGGCAAGCTGAAACTATAACCACCACCGCCCTCGAGCGAAAACAGTTAGAATGTTTGCAAATGTTTGAATCACCACCCAGAGTTTCACAGGTGACATCTTTACTCCAGAGACCCTTTTTCTAGTCACACAGGCAAAGAAAAGGAAAGGAAAAGGAAAGGGAGAATATAGAACAGATGCGGTGATTGCCCAGGGCTGGGCACTTTAAGAACTGGCTATTTCAGGCCGGGCGCAGTGGCTCCTGCCTGTAATCCCAGTACTTTTGGAAGCTGAGAGGGGGGTGGATCACCTGAGGTCAGGAGTTTGAGACCAGCCTGACCAACATGCAGAAACCTCGTCTCTACTAAAAATACAAAATTAGCCAGGCCTGGTGGCGGGTGCCTGTGATCCCAGCTACTTGGGAGGCTGAGGCAGGAGAATCTCTTGAACCTGGGAGATGGAGGTTGTGGTGAGCTGAGATCGCACCATTGCACTCCAGCCTGGGGAACAAGAGCGAAACTCTGTCTCAAAAAGAAAACCAAACAAACAAAAAAACTGACTTTTACAGACTTTGTGAAACTTTGTCTTTTCCTCCATGCTTTAACAGGTAAAAAAAAACTCTCAGGTGATGGGGAGTCAAAAACGAAGCTGGCATCTTAGACATTTTTAAATAAGGTGTTTTTCTTTTTACACCAACCATACTACATGTAGCAGAGGTTGCTTAAGTCTCCTTTAGAAACTTAAATATGGCATAAGAGAGCCTTGTTTTAATTACTTATAGTGCAGAAATCTCTTCAACTGCTAGTTGGAATCTATGTAAACATCAGACATCCCATAAGTTTTTGATCTTGAACACGGCTGTGATTGAGTATCCCAAATATGGCATAAGAGAGCCTTATTTTAATTACTGAGGTAGAAGCCTTTATCTACTTATCATTAAAGATGTTAGTCCTAAGGAAAGTTCTTATCTTGGAGACTTTGATAGCTGTTACAAATCTTGCAAATGCTATTTTCTTACACTGTTTTTGTCAAATCAAATTTCATTTGGAGTAATAATTCTCCATCCTGGTCTTCTGATATCTCAGGGTGCCTCTAATTCTTTCATTTGGTACTGAAAACTTCTTAGTTTACAAAACCTTTCACAGAACTTTCTGATATAACACATCATTTTAAAAAAATCACATTACTCTTGGCTCAAAACTTTTGATGGTTTTCCATTGAGCTTTGAGTGTTGCAATGGAAAAGGATCATCAAAATCCAGTCTCCTGCTGGATAATATAGAAATGATCTCCCCAACCACCTTATTCTGTCCCCTTCCCATCACCTCTAGCCACCAGCACTTCACTACCTCATGCAGTAATATTGGACAGTGATTGTTATTGGACAGTTTGAGGTATTAACATGCTTATTTTTGTACTGGGGCAAAGCTTGTACCAATTGAATCCAATTTTGCCCACAGGAACAAACATCTGTCTTTTAGATCTGGTGGTTCCTCCTATGAGAGAGAAGACATTAGTCTGTCTTCCCTTATTCTTCTCCAATTCAGGATCGGAGCCCTTCACTCCTCCATGTGGCCTGCCTTGACTCAGTATTAATCTCTTGATACCCTCTAGTTTATATCATTGTTCCTCTCAGGCATTGAGCCAGATCAAGCCCAGACTTATCATCTGGGCTTTTAAGAGCTACCCTGTGAGCCTGTCTACCACATCTATGCACATTTATTTCCAGGACTTTTCAATACAAATCTCCAGGCTGTCTTTTTTTTTTTTTTTTCCATTGTTCTCTAAATACAGCATAATTTCCTATTTGGTCTGTCTGCAAGATCCAAGAGGAGTACAAGTTATGATGATATCTTATGATAATGTCATGATTTCGGGAACCTACCATATGCATGGTGCTGATGCTGGGTGAGTGAATCATCCCCTCTGCCATCTTGGAAATCATAGTAAGCTTCTTAATTGGATGATAAAACAGTGGACAAAGAAGTGAGTGATTCCAATTTCAGTAAGAGCCACGAAGCTAGGAGCCACAGGTTGCTGTGCCACAGAATCATGACTGCATATAGGTTTGTGTTTGGGAAATCTGATTTACATGGGCTTGTCAGAGAAGGCCTCTCTGGGGAGACAGTGTTGAAGTGATGACTGAAGGTTGGTAAGAACTAGTTCTTTACAGAGTGAAGGAGGAGGAGGAGGAGGTCAGCATATGCAAGGATCTGAGGCAAGAAAGAGTTTAGTTACTCAAGGAACTTAAGAAAGCTCCAAGGGGCTGGAGTGTGGAGAGGGTGTTAAAGGGAGAGGCCAAATCACGAAGGGCTTTGCAAGCCACTTAAAGTTTGAGCTTTCCTCTAAAAGCAAAAGGAAATTTTGAACTAAAGGCATTTAAGCAGAAATGCAGATGTGTGTGTGTGTGTGTGAGAGAGAGAGAGAGAGAGAGAGAGAGAGAGGGAGGGAGGGAGGGAGGGAGAGAAAGGGAGGGAGAGAGAGAGAGTGAGCATGGAGAGGTTTTAATCTTAGAGAGGTTGCCCTGGCAGCAGTGTGAAGGGTGGTTTATGTGACCAGCCCTGTGAAGGCTGCATGGTGGGAGCCTGCTGCGGAGGAGGTGGTGGTGAGCACAGCTGTCTGGTCAGAACTTTTGTTCTGTTGTAGGTGAAATGAGAGCCCTGCATAGAGCTCGTGGTGTGGTGTGCCCACCTGGAGGGTGGGGCTTGTGGGGAAGAAGCTCAAGGCGAGAATAAAGAACTGTTTCAGGAAGGAGTAAGCACCTCAGATTCGGAGCCACTGGTCCCCCTCAATGTCTTGCTGTCTCCTCTGGGGACCTGGAAAGTCACCTGACACTAGAGACACTAGACACCGGGAAGGGGGGAGGGAAGAGAAGCTCTATTTGGAGGAGGCACCTGAGAAGATGATAGGTATGTACCTGAGTCTTCCTGAGTTGTTGGTGGGAAATGGGGAGATATCAAATGGATGAAAACCAAACTGAACTGCAGTTCATACCCGTAATTCCTAGTCTTTTTCCATGTGACTTAGTGGCTTTCTTAAGATGTAAGTGAGGATCCAGGGTTAGGTGAGGAGGTAGGTCTATGCCTTGAAAGGAGCAGACCTCCTCTCAACCCCTTTCTTCCTTTCCTTTCTATAATCCTCAGCCTCCTCTGATGCTTCCCTTATTTTCCCAAACCACAGTCCAGACTATAGCCCAGCAGCACGAAGAATTCTGCCTCAAACATCCACCTCACCTCACCTTTGATCTCTGCAGTCAGGGCCTCATCTCATAAACAGACATTACAGGTAGGAAGAAGTCTTGATTTCAGTTACAAAAGTCGGAAGTTGAGGAGCGTCAGCCTGCTCTGAATAGCAGTGGATGGTGAGTGGGGGAAGGTGGAGGTGGTGGCCAGAGAGGAGACTTCTGGGCAGAGAATTGGAAATCCCTTTGAGGGATTTCGTCCATTTCTGCAGTGTGATTTCTGTAATGAAACTTCTTCCCCATCTCTCTAAGAAATCATAACTAGAATATGAGTTTCTCTCCCTGTTATGCAGAATTGGATTTGGAGGGGGGTGTTGGCATTAACTGAAGTGCTTTCTCCTACCTGGTGGGGTATGCAGGGGTGTGTCTGTGGAGCACTGTGAAATCATTTCCCAAAAATGTAAAAGAAAAGGTATCTGTGCCATACACGTGTGTGTATATTGATTTTATCTTGATTTTTAGTTGCCTACAGTTTTTGGTGATTCATGAGGCCTGGAAGAATCAAAATTTTAGATTATTGTTGATTCATGAAAGAGAAAAATCTGATACTGCCAGACCCTGACACAGTCTTCAGTAATTACATTATGTTTCATAATTGTTTGGAACTGGATTATTTGTCCAATTCCATCACACATGATTATTTCCTTCTCTTGCCTTATAAATTGGATAAAGCTCTTATCAGTATTCGCCCAGCCATAGGAAACAGCCTGAGTTTTTCAGGCCCTCACACTGCGCTTAGAGAGAATTTTAACATATCTAAAAATACCAGGCCTGGTGCTATTTGTTTAACACTGTTGTTGCAGAGCCCTCTCTTAGGGCTAAACCAGCCCCTGCTGCAGCAAGCAAAGATTACAGTGAATGAAGATCCATAAAACAGGAGCACCACTAACTGGCAGATGTTAGACAGAGAAAACCTCAGTGGATGCTGTCTGGGGGTCGGCACATAGTCGTTGGCAGAACAAGGCTAGCTTGCAAGGCCTCCAGGTGGGCAGCCAGGAAACCAGCCTGCTTCGCGTTTCCTGTGGAGGATCTCAGGACCTGCTGAGAAGCGTGTGCCTGGGCCTGCTTGCACAGGGAGAGAGATTCACTGCCTGGGGGACAAGGCTGTGGACCGGAGGGAATGCTGGCATAGCACAGAGCTGATGTCCGTCTTCGTTTCTCCGCTCCTCATTTGTATTTGGAGGCACCGTGCAGTGTGGGGAGTGCTTTGGCATCGATTGGCTTTGTACCCAACACAGAGTGGATTCTCCCTGCCTATGAGGGACAGATCATGGCTCAGAGAGGCTTTGTGTCCTACATGGAAGGAAGCGACTTCATTGTGACTTGAACCTTTGCCTTCTGCCTTTATGGCTGATGTTCTTCCCACAACATTTGCTGTCTTAATATAATCCCTGAGGCAAATGCTTTCTAGCTGAGAAATAGAAGCCTTGAGTCAGAGAAAGGCTGAGATGGGTTTGCACTTCCTTGGATGTCAAAGGAGATTTTATCAGAAGGAGAAGAGGAGGAGAGCTTAGGTCTCTGCCCAAGGGGGTGGCTCAAGCTGTTTTGTGGAAGTTGTGTAGAACGGGGAATATTCAGCCTGGATATGCAAGGGGAGTTGAAACCTGCCCCCGGCTTGAGGTTGCATTCTTTGTGCTCCACTAGAGATTAAGGTAGCCCTAGCTGTAGCTGTCCCCGGTACTATGAAGTTAGTAAGGATGTAAAAATATCATCCAAATTGTGTATATTCATAAGCAAGGCCAGCACGTTCTTTTAGCTGGGGAACCACTATCACTTCGTATGTCAGAAGAATTGGCTGTAATTTTAAACAAAACACTTATTATTTTGAGTTTTCAGCTGTAATGTTCTTTACAATCATAACGTAGCCCTACATTTTACTGAGTTCAATAGTCTAGCTAAATATGGAACTGTCAAAAAAAAAAAAAAAAAAAAACCCAAAATTTCTAAAAATGATTCCCAGGTAGGATTTATTTAAAATCTACTTATGTATTAATATATACAAATAACAAATGTAAACAATGTTAAAAACCAAGAAACGCAATCCAGACTTTAAGATTCTCTCTGTTGTTATTCAACTAAGAAAGAGCTGGCTCTGTTTTTCTTTTAAAAGAAAAGCGTTCCTAAGTGAGCAGTCACTGAAATTACTGGTAATATAGCATAATGTAGTTCACAGTTTTACAAGCGCATTTTAATTTTCTTGTGTTTCTTTCCTTCTACTTTCTACCTTTACATCCCACTTCATTGTAAACGTTTTCTGTTCTTTTTCCAATGGGGCCATCTTTCTGTTTTCTTTCAACATTGCTACTTCAGTGAGAAGGACGCTGGTGTCCCCAACCCTCAAGCCCTGTTTTAGCAGTGATGGCTGGCGGAATCAGAGTCCCTTCTCTCTCCTCCGTGTTAACAGAATGTGGAAATATTCCCGTACCACCAATCCTTCATGACAGGAAGAGGGAGGTAGAAAGCAAAAGCCTGGAGGACATCATAGCTCTTGCCCCCTTCAAGTTTCATTTTTTAAAGAGGAAGCAGAGAAGACCAGCCTCATCTTGTTTCTGGAGAAGGTTTGCTTCTGAATTGCTTCCACTGCTGCTGGTGATGGATGCTAAGAGTGAGTTGATGTTCTAAGCTCCTTCTGGAGCTCTGATGTCTGCTGTAACCTTGTGGATGCTTGGAACGCTCACGGCCGGTGAGGCCTCCCTTGTGGACCACGCCTTGGTCCCCAGTGCTGGCTCTCGAGCTGCTGTCAGGTCTGCCCTGTTCCTACACACTGCTGACCAGCTTTGGGTTCTCAATGGCCTGACTGGGGGTTCGGCCAGATGTATTGGAGCAACGTGGGGGAGTGAGCCAACACCCCCTTCGCCCTTCTCAATGTTCTCCTGAGGATGAGAAACAACTAAAAAGAAAGCCTCATCCACGTCAAGGCTTCTGGCAGAGAGGGATGCGTCTGTTCTTCCTAACAGCAGACAGAGTTTTAAATTAGGATGAAAACAACTGTGTCTAGTTCCCAGTTAAGACACTGACACTTGAAGATTTATATAGACCAGGGTTCCTTAATTGGGGATGTACATTAGTTTCGCACGGAAACATTTTTCAGTATGTTCTGACGTAGGCCCCTCTCTATGCCCACTGAGTCAGAATCTCCATGCAGGCCTCATCTTCAGAAGATGTTGCCGGGGGATGCTGATAGATTTCTCTGTTCAGAGTCATTGGTCTAGGAAGAATGATCCGGAGCTGGTTGGAGGCTGCAGTGTCATGCTCTTCAGGCATTTCATCTCCCAGGGCATCGTTGTTTTGTAGGGCAGCAGGGTGTCACTCAGGATGCTAGTTATAGCGAGTGAAGGTAGGTGGCTGAATGCTCAGAAGGATGAGTGAGTGTCCAATGAGTGAGTGTCCAAGTTGTGTTTTTCTTCACTGTGCAGGTGAGCACAGTCAGATGCCTTCCTGGGGTGGAGGTGGTTCTAAGAGCCTGGGGTCGGGGATAGGCAGCCCGGTCACAATCCTGGCTCTGGTATTAGTTAGCCAAGACACTGGGAGGCACTTGCTTGGTTTCTCTAGGCTTGCATCTTCTTGCTAGGAAGAAGATTAGATTGGGTAATATATAAGGACCTCTGAAGTTCTAGGCTACTTGGAGGTCAACTGAAAACATTTTTAAAAGTATCATACAAGTGACCTATTCTCATTCTAGAAAACCGTGAAACATTGGAGTAAGCAAAAAGAAAAGAAAAACCCCATTATCCCACGACCCTGCCTCCCAGAGAACCTTTAGATGTGAATTCTTTCTTTTAGTCCTTGTGCAAAGATAAAGACACAGATATGCATGTGAGCACATAAATGTAAAAACATGCATTTTAGTATAATATGTATTTTACAAAAAGGTGATTGTGTACTATATATGATCTTGTAATCTATCTTTTAAGTGAACCTATAAGGAACATGGGAACTCCTTTCCATGCCACTAAATGTACATTGGACATCTTTAACATGGGGGCAGATAGCTTTGTGACCTAGGGCCTGGCCTTGGGGACTGCCTCTGGTTCAGCCACTTCCTAGCTGTGCAACCTTGAGCAAGTTACTTTATCTCTCTAAATCATAATTTCCCTCCATGGAAAATGGCTGTAATAGTAATGCCTACTTTATAAAGTGTTCTGAGGATTAAGTCAGACACTGCATGCTACATACTTAGAGCAGTGTCTGGCCCATACAAGGATCAATAAATGTTCACTAAGAATGCTGCATATCATTCTATTTTACTCATGTGCATAATTTAACTAATCCGCTATTATTGCTTAGATTTCTCTTTGCTGTTGTACACAATGATGCACTGATTGTTCCATAGATTAATATTTATGTATATTCTTAGGACATATTCCTAAAAGCAAAATCGCTGAGCTAAAGGGCAGGCACATTTTAAAGAAGCCAATACATAGAGCTAAGGTGCCCAGCTGAAAGGTTGTAGCAGCCTATGAGAGTGGCCGTTCCCCACATCTAAGGGAGGTATGTGTTAGTTTTCCTTTGATTTTATTTTGTTTTTGAATTTAAAGGAGAGGGAAAATGGTTGAAAAATGATGTCATGATTTTATTTTACATTTATTTTTACATACATACTCATTTTGCCCATTTTTCTATTGGAGTGTTTCCCTCTTTATTGTTGACTTGTAAGATTGTTCATACAGTAGCAATCCTTTACTTTTACTTATTAATTCATGAGAGCTAGTTTCGCACCCAAGTCCCAGAGGTAACAGCTGATGGTGAACGAGACAGTTCCCATCCTTGCCTTGGTGGATATAAAGTTCAGGCAGGAAAATGGATATGAAATAAATGATGAAAACCTGCAATCAAGAGTATTACAGGGCTATGTAGACTATTGGGCTTATCCTGAGGCTTCCCACAGGCAGTGATGTGTGAGAAGATGTTGGAGAGACAGGACTTGGCCAGGGATAGACTGGGTAGATGGAGGCTCCAGGAATGTAGGTTGAAGATATTTTTTTTCCTAACTGGTTGCTTGCTTAAAAAAAAACCAAACAAGCTGTGTGCAGTGGCTCAAGCCTGTAATCCCAGCACTTTGGGAGGCCGAGGTGGGCAGATCACGAGGTCAGGAGTTCAAGACCAGCCTGGCCAATATGATGAAACCCTATCTCTACTAAAAATACAAAAATTAGCCAGGCATGGTGGTGCATGCCTGTAGTCCCAGGCACTTGGGAGGCTGAGGCGGAAGAATTGCTTGAATATGGGAGGTGAAGTTTGCAGTGAGCCAGGATCGCACCACTGCACTCCAGCTGGTGACAGAGCAAGACTCTGTCTCAAAAAAAAAACAAAAAAAAAAACAAAAAAAAAAACAAAAAATCCCCAAAACAAACAAACTTAGCTAACTTAGTTCATAGTCTGTGTTGACATCTTACGGTTTTTAAATTAGTAAAATCAATTAGTATTTATTTTCCTGCATATTTTCTACCATTGGTATTTTACTTGGAAAGTCGACCCCATGAAGTTTTTATTTTTTATTTTTTTCCTTCATTTTATAAACTTTATTTATTATAAATTGACAATTTATAATTGTATAAATTTGTGAGGTACAAAGTGATATTATAATTTATGCATACAATGTGGAATAGTTAAATAAAGCTATTTAACATATCCATCACCTCAAAAACTGGAAAGTTTTTGTGGTGAGAACATTTGAAATGTACTGTCCTAGCAGTTTTGAAATGTACAATACTCTATGATTAAGTAAATGCACCATGCATTGCAGTAGACTCAAAAAAGAAAAAATCCATACCCCCATAGCTGAGACTTTGTACCCTTTGACCTTCATCTCCACATTCCCCAGCCCCCAGTCTCTGTAACCACCATTCTGCTCTCTGATTCTATGAATTCAATTGTTTTAGATTCTACATTTGAGTGAAAACATGAGATATTTGTCTTTCTGTACCTGGCTTATTTCATGCAGCGTAATGATCTCTAATTCTATCCATGTTGTTGCCAACGATAGAACTTTGTTCTTTTTAAAGGCTGAATAGTATTCCATTGTGTGTGTATACCATATTTTCTTTTTCCATTTATCTGTTGATAGACACTTTAGTTTGATTCCTAACTTGGCTATTGTCAATAGTGTTGCAATGAACACAGGAGTGCAGGTAGCTCTTTGACATACCAAAGGGTACATATTCCTTTTGATATATAACCAGAAGTGGGATTGCAGGATCACATGGTAATTCTATTTTTAGTTTTCTAAGAAACTTCCATGCCATTTTCCATAATAGCCATACTAATTTTTGATGTTACTAGAACGCTTCATCCCAGGTGAGACAGATGTGCATTTATAATAAACACCAAAGATTGTCCTTCTATAAGTGCCTTGTGGGGTTGGGCTCATGGAGAGAAAGGCTGACCTTTATGCTGATCTCTTAACCTGTGCCCAGTGAAGCATGCAGTCGTATACTTCAGGTAATAGAAACTGGATAAGAGAAAAGAATGTCTTGATTCACAAGAGATTTGTGAAGGGGAAAAGTTTGTTCTTAATCCTCTCTTCTCTGAGCTATTCCGAGTATAGCATCTCATACACTTCTATATGAGCCCAGGTTCCTCCATTGGTATAAGGAAACAATTTTAAATCAAACTAATTCATGCTAAAATGTGAATGACTAAATAAGCTATCTGCCCCTAGTCTATTTTCATCTTAACAGAGTACCATAAAAAGAGAATAATATACAATGTGTGTACGTCTACATTGGACGTTCAGTCTGATATCCAAGTCAGACTGAATGTAGAAGATAAATTTTTGGTTAAATGAATCCTTACTTGCATGCTTAGCAGCAGTTCCAGAAAGATGCAGAGGGTTGAGAAGTGTAGAGTTTACTGGTTAGCAAAGTGAATTCTAGAGGCAGAATACCAGAGCCAAATTCTAGTTCTGCCATTTACTAGCTGGGTGACTATAGGCAAGTTCATTAACTGCTGTGCTTCAGCTTCCTCATCTATACAATGACAATGATAATATCCACCTCATAGTAAGAGTGAGAGGATTGAAGGATTTCTTGAATATACGGTGGCCAGAACACCGTCTGGCATGGAACAAGTGAACAACAGATAATAGTGTTTGAAAAATTAGAAAGCTTGACTCTTCTCTTTACCTATGTCCTGGGGATTTTGATACTTTACTTTCTGGGCTTCCTCTTATTTTCCATGTTAGTACATCTTGCATTGCTATAAAGGAATACCTAAAACTGGGTAATTTATAAAGAAAAGAGGTTTAATTGGCTCATGGTTCTTCTGGCTGTACAGGAAGTATGGTGCTGGCATCTGCTTCTGGTGAGGCCACAGGAAACTTACAATCATGGCGGAAGGTGAGGGGTAGCTAGTGTGTCACATGGTGAGAGCTGGAGCAAGAGAGAGAGAGGGAGGATGTCTCAGACTCTCTTCAACAACCAGATCTCCTGTGAACTGAGTGAGAACTCACTTGTCATCAAGGGGAGGGTGCTAAACCATTCCTGAGGAATTTCCCCCATAATTCAGTCACCTCCCATCAGGCCCCACCTTCAACATTCGGAATCATATTTCAGCATGAAGTTTGGAGGGGAGAAACATCCAAATCATGTCACCTGCCTGTCCGTTTTCTTTTTGGCTCACCTGCTCCTCAAGTTTTGCCCACCTGTGATGATTCCTATGATCTCAGCCTTGGTTCTCTCATTTTCTCTCTGTCCTTTCTCCCTGGACCTCTTTGCTTCTGTGGTTTCATCTGTCACCTTTTTGAGCTGATTTCCCAAACTCTTACTCTCAGGCCAGCCTATCAGTTTATAACATTTGGATATTCTGTCAATTGTGTTTGTGTGTGTTTGCAATTATAAAAACCCCACAGATTAAACCGCTTGAAATGATAAAGGAGTTCATTAGCTGAAATATCCAGAATAAACAGCTTCAGGTACGGTTGACCCAGGTGCTCCCATGATATATCCAAGGCCCTGGGTTTTCTCATCTGTTTCTTCTATGTTTGTTGGGATTGGACTGATGGCCAGAAGCTGAAAGTACTCATGCTGCTGCTTTTTCTGCCCTGCCATGAGTGGAGAGAGAGAACTTCTGCCAGTAGCTTTAGAGGTGAATTAATTCCCCTACATGGCATAGCTTTAAAATCTGGACATTGTTTTATGAAAAGATGGGTGAATGGATCCTGATGGACAAAAACAGCAGATATTCACTACAGTTGTACTGCTTTTTTCTCCAATTCATCAAAGCACCACCAAGACAGTACAGCTGGCATGAGTTCTGCACCCATGGATTCAACAAACCATGGGTTAAAAATATTCAGGAAAAAAATCCACAAAATTCCAAAAAGCAAAACTTGAATTTGCCATGTGCTGCATACTGTGTTTGACTCCGCATGAATGAAGTGATGTGTAGGCACTGTATTAGGTATCACAAGTAATCTAGAGGTGATTTCAAGTATACAGGAGGATGTGCATAGGTTATATGCAAATGCTATGCCACTTTTTATAAGGGATTGGAGCATCCTATGACTTTGGTATCAGAGAGGGATTCTGGGACCAATCCCCCGTGGGTACCGAGGGCCTACTGTACTTGATGCTTCTGCTCTGGCTTTATTAATTCTGGTGGGACACTCAGCATGCCCCCACTTTCTGTGTTCAAAAGCTCAGCATTCAAATTTTCTCTTCCCTTTTCCTCTAACCCCACAAGCCTTCCATTTAGTAAATCCTAGAATATGCTTGTTGCTTGATATCATTCTCTGCCCTACTCATTGGTTCAGTGCAGTACCAGCCCCACCCACTTTCTGTGGCTTTCTGTGGACACTGGAGTCCACTGTAAATTCACTTGCCTCTCTTCCTCTGAGAAATATGTCCACAGCATCCATGCATTCTTATTATATTGTTTTATATTGTTACTTATGTCTACCTTTCTTCCTCTCTACCTGTGCTACCTAGCTGGATTTGGAATACCTTGTGTATTAGGTCATTCTTGCATTGCTGTAAAGAAATACCTGAGACCGGGTAATTTATGAAAGAGGTTTAATTGGCTCACAGTTCTGCAGGTTGTACAGGAAGCATAGTGCCAGCATTTGTTTCTGGGGAGGTGTCAGGGAGCTTTTACTCATGGCAGAAGGTGAAGTGGGAGAAGACACATCACATGGCCAGAGCAGGAACAAGAGAGAGTGGCGGGGGGAGGTACCATACACTTTTAAAGGACCAGATCTCACACGAACTCACTCACTCACTTACTGACTGTCTTGAAGACAGGACTAAGCCATGAGGGATCCACCTCCATGACCCAAACACCTACCAGGCCCCACCTCCAGCACTGGGGATTACAGTTCAACATGAGATTTGGGTGAGGACACACATCCAAACTCTATCACCTTGGAAGCCAACCTGACACTTCTCCAAGTCTCCCCTCACCACCCAGAAAAGCTCCCCGTGGTCTGGAGACTCAATTACAGCTCTTGTTGGCTGAGGGAGCCCAGACTTTCTGGCAGCATGCAGTGGCGATAGCATTCTGTGTAGCCGCCATGGACCTCAGACACTCCTAGGGCTGATGGAATTGCCTAAAATTGTGCCCTGCAGAACTGTGGGTCCATGGGAGGGGAATAGGCGTGATTAGAAAAAAGTTCCAGGATCAAATAAGTTGGAGGAATGCCACCTCAAACAAGGTTAGCCTTGTCTTTACTGTATGAATTTTCAGAGTCTTGATAGAGCAAATGTTTTCATGAATCTGTAGGTGATTGTGTTTTCCAAATGAATTTGACAGTCCTCCTTTTACAAATAGAATTTTGTAAGGTGAGGGTCTTGTATCATTCTGTGGCAGTTGTCAGCTGTGCTGGGTGTGGCAGAGGACTCCCAGGGACAGACTGCCTTGCACTGTGGGTTCTGCCCTTGCACACATCCATAGATCCATAGGGAGCTCTGCCCTGCTCTATCTCATAGCCATGTTCATGTACTAAGAAGCTGTGGAATATGTTGGTGTTCTATTTTTTAACCTTGTAAGGCTCATGGAAGACTCTGATAATCTACAACACAATCTTAGTTTGGGAGTCCCCTGGAAGTCAGAGATAGTGTTCAATTTGTATGATAGAAAGTGGACACTTAATGGTTTGCCAACTGGCTGAAATTAGTGAGATTTTGATACACTGCATTTCTTTCTCAAAAAAGATCTGATTTAAAATCACTGTTTTAAGTAGACATTTCTAAAGTCTTACTCTTTTTCTAGAAAAAATGTGTTGTCCTTTAATCAAATGACATTATGTTACATTGATATGATGTAAAGATTGAGTAATAAGCAGACGTTAAGCTCTTTTCATTCCTTGTGCACGTTTTCTTTTCACAAAGGTTTTTCCTACTTTTTATTATAGTTCTTGCTATTTGATGACAGTACCTGTAGATTGTAGGATGGTCAATAAGAAGGATAAAAGATAAGCTGCTACTTATTTATCAGAATATATAAGTTCATGTATAAGGGCAGGACTAATTCAAATACTTACGGTGAGTATTTTCTGTAAGCCTTTCATGGGGGAATGGAGAGCCTCTTTCAACAAGGAAATAATTATTACAACCGGAAAGTGGGGAGAAGAGGCAAGGAGCCAGGTTTTCTCTAGCAAATGCAACATCTATTCAAAGGGTCAGACCAACATCTCTAGAGGAGTCACAGCACAGGTCTATCAGAGAAGGGTGCCAGGTACGCATTTTTATTGCCTTTTATAAGTGTGTATGTGTGTGTGTACATGTGCATGGATTTGAAGGGGATCACACTGGGTGTGCCTCAAATAAGGTGTAAGGTAAGGTGAGTTGTGGTAGAGTGTGGGAACCAGGAAGGGGCTGTAGACATCTGGGTTTTAAATTAAGCACTCACCTCTTAAACCAAATCTGTTATGAAGTCACCATGATTGACCAAACATGCAACCAAAGAGCTGACGCTATGCACACAAGGACATTAAGATGGGACCTGTTTTCTTCGAATTTCATCTCACTCTTTGGAGAGTCAGACTCTAGTCTGACTCTAGTGCTCTCAAGAATCACTTTTAGGGCCGGGTGCAGTGGCTCACATCTGTAATCCCAGCACTTTGGGAAGCCGAGGTGGGCGGATCATGAGGTCAGGAGATCAAGACCATCCTGGCTAACACGGTGAAACCCCGTCTCTACTAAAAATACAAAAAATTAGCCGGGCGTGGTGGCAGGCACCTGTAGTCCCAGCTACACAGGAGGCTGAGGCAGGAGAATGGCCTGAACCCGGGAGGTGGAACTTGCAGTGAGCCAAGATCGCACCACTGCACTCCAGCCTGGGCAACAGAGCAAGACTCCGTCTCAAAAAAAAAAAAAAAAAAAAAAAAAGAATCACATTTAGATGGTTGTTAAAATCCAGATTCCAGGGACTTCTCTCCCCAAAATTCAAGTTCAGTAGGTCTGGGGTGGGAGCCTGGAATCTGCATTTTCAGCAGGTACTCAGATGCTTCTGATAGAGTTAGCATGTGCTCAGAGCCACCTTCAGAACCACTGGCCTGGAAGACTCCATTTCTGGGCAGTGAATGGGCCCATCTGTCTCCCTGCTGGATAAAGCTTGCCCGTAAACCATGCAGCCTGGCGGTGCTATCAAGATAATACTGCAGTCGGAACCCAGATGAGTCATATGTAAACTTATTAAGTTCAAATGTTTTTATAAGCAACTTATCCTTTTCAAAAATCAGGTTATAATAGATTTGGGAGGGAGTCTTTGAGTTTGCTTGTCAGAAACAATACCAAATGCAGATTTGGGGACATTACCACCCAAGCAATGGATTCTGTAATTGCAGGAGCCTAAATCTTTGTTGACGATCAGATGACTAATTATACTGGACTTCTCTACAGGAGTCCTGCTGTGTGTTACATATTTCTGGCCTCTTATTATCTGGAATGCAGTAAACCAGCTGCATGTTAAAAGCCCTTCTTTCACCTTAAAAGTGTCCCAGGAGGTTCTTTCTTTCTGTCCCACAGAGTTTAGAGCCTCCCCTGAGGCATGGGCCTCAATCTTTGCTAAATTAACTCTTCAGGTATTTTTCTCTCAGGATTGGATGGGGAGAATCTCAATTGCACATAAATTACAGAGTCAGCACTCTGTGGGACATTTATGTAAATTGTAGCCTTGAGTTTAACCTAATCCTAAAACAGTTTAGATTTTATGCAAAACTAGTTTAACACTGATCATTGCTGTATTCTCAGGCTGCTGATAAAATGAGAACAACACGGAACTTTTCTCAATGCTTATTTTTGTTTTGCTGGTCTTTAATATGTAGGCAGAATTTTTTTTTTTTTATGGGCCAGTCTCTGACACTTCATCACGTAACTCAGGCTATTAGTGTTTCTCAAAGTCCAACTTGCAATACTATTATCAAAATCTAAGGGGGAAAGAAATGTCTTTTGTCAGATCAAAATCCAGTCTAAGTGGTGTGAAACAATGCCATTCTTCTATTAAATGTGTATTTGAGTAACCGTGTGACAATTAGATAATTTGGATGTTTCTCTGCCTGTCATAGCAACTAGGGAGATATTCATCCACTTCCATGTTGATGGCATAATCTTAGTATCACCTACCGGAATGGCCATAAAACACGAATGAGCTCTTTTCCTGATTATCATCAGAAAGTATCTACTATGTGAAAGCTAAAATTATCGTGGCTGGCCAAGATTCCTCAGAGATAAGCTAGACTTTGTCCTAACTGGGAAATTCTAAATGAATAACTCATGCAGACTTAAATAAGATGACAAATGTAAAAATTCTGGGTAGAATGTGAAGCTCTATTCATGTTAGAGACTATTTTTGTGGTTCTTGCGGGTACCTATGGCAGCTAACAGCCTGGTGGGCTCATCAGAATTTAGAGCCATTGACAATCTGAAATTATCCTGGGGTCATATTGGGATTTAAAAATCATTGAGGTACCCAGGCAGTAAGCCTTAACCTTAAACATTTCAGACCAAAATATTTTCTTTCCTTCTTTGGCTCAGAAATCTGGGGATTGCAATCCAAAATCTGTCAGAGTACTTGAGCAGATTTCAAATCCAGTTTTTATAAAAGGCTTTGGCCCTAGCTTTGGGCCAGTGGTTCTCAACTGGGGTTGTTGTTCTCCCTACCTCCAGGGGACATTGACATTTTTACTTTTCACAACTGGGTAGAGTACTACTGACACATAGTGGGCGTGTAGTAAGGTGCCAAACATCCCACATCCTACTATGCACAAGACAGTCAGTGCCCCCTCCCCCAGCCTAAGAATTATCTGGCCCCAAATTTCAAGAGTGTTGGAGTTGAGAACTGCTCCTGGCCATCAGGGGATCACACTGGGTGTGCTTCTGTGCTGGCATTTCATCAAGGTGAGAACCAGGCTCCTTTGTTTCCTCAGAAGGTCTTCAGTTCTGCATCTGGCATCGAACGAAGACTCAGAGATTCTTCTCTTTTTTCATAACAACTTTAACATGCTCTTAACTGTCATTCCTCACAGAACCTCAGCTTATCAATTCAAATCATCTGAAGAGATTCCTCTTTAATTGACTCTGTGACTTCTTGATACAGAAGCCCTTGTCAGGGTTGTCAACTCTAAAAACAATTAAGAATTTGCCAAAAGGTCAACAGAGTTTTAATTTTAATTTGTTTTAATTTTAATTTAGTTTTAATTTGAAGGGGACAATTCAAAGAATATTTTGCTCATTTATTCTTCTAGTGTCTCTAAAATCTTTCCCTGCCTTGAGTAGATGTTGAGAAGAAAAAACACACAAGTTAACAAATACACATTTTATTGTCTCAGTTTTCCAAATATTTCCAAATTGGAGTGATATGATAGTAAGCCCCTGAGATGGGTTAGTTAATGAAAGACACCTGTAGAATTCCTTATAAGTGTTGTGATGGTGATCACTTAAGGTTTTTCTTGTAACTTTTTTTTGGTGTGGTGTGACTTAGCATTCATATTCATGTGACTCTTTAGCAAAAGCGTACAGCTCCTGCAACCTAGCAGCATTAAGTTACTGAGAGATACAATGCAAGAAAGAGAACAGGCCTAAATCCAAGACTGTTTTCCTCTCATATTGAATCTCTCTGGGTGATCCAGACACCTCGATTGTCAGAGCCTAGACCAGAGCCAGCTTGAAGCTTCAGCCCCTCACCTCTCCACCCCAGGTAATGACCTGTTTCAGAATCCAGATCCATTGCTTCTCCTAAGGGGAAGGTACCTTAAGTCCCATATTTCACCCTCCAGAGAGATGGCAGAAGAAGCTGGAGGCTTCTTTAACCTGTAACTCTTTTCTGGAGAATCTGCAGAATGGGATAGGTAAATACCAGGTGACGGCAACCTTTGTGAGGGGCCTTGATGCGGAGTTCGGGCTGAAGGAGAAATGAAAGGTGTGGAGTGGGACCAACATTAGAGATGAAGACTTTCCTTGTCTATCACTTTTTATATAAACACACCAGCAATAGAGTCTTCTTGGAATATAGTACCTGGAAAATAAATTAATCTCATTTCGATGAACTTAGATACTTCCTTTTACTAGGAAGCCAGTGCTAGCTGATAGTAAGCCTGCTGATCTGCTCAGTTGCAGTGACTAATTAAACCCAGATGCCTGCCTCTTAATTGGTTTTGATCTTTTACCCTGAATTTTTCTATATGACTTAATAATTTAAGACTACTCACTTCACCTTGAGGATGTGAGCAGGGTAGAAATGGTAAATAACAGGTAAAAAAAAAAAAAAGAGGGATGTGAAGTTTTAAATTTAATGGCTCTTTACTAACATGATGCTAACATGGAACCTCTCTGCTCACTGTGGCGTGAGTGAGTAAATGACTAGATCATTTTGCTATGTTGTTTAATTTGCTGTTGGTTCCCATAGACTTGAGCAGTTTCACCAGCATTACTTTGTTTCTCAGCTGCTTTACTCCTCAGTCGTGGGCTTGACATCCTCCACCATCCTTCTTGGTAGCACCTCTTCTCCCTTCTTCAATTCTGTGTCTACCCTTGCCTAAGGCTTGATCAACTTAAAAAAAAATCCCTTAAAATAGGCGAATTCCTTTGCAAAGAAATCAGCCTATTGGTGGCCTCTATGCTATTACAAACTTGTCCAGGCATTACAAAAGGAAAGAAATCTTGTGCTTTCTGTTCTATGACTTCTGAAATGATTGGTTTTAAAGGCACCAGCATCGATGGGGTCCTCCCCTACCTGTCCTTAGCATTCTCTGCCACTCTGAATCTTTTTTTTTTTTCTATTATTTCTGTTTCTATGTGCTGCAAGGAGCCTTAGGGATTCACCACCCTACCACATTGGCTAATGAGAAGCTAAGGCCCCCAAGTCATGAGGACTATGTAAATTCTCCTTTTAGTCTAGTGCTTTTCCTGTGATATTCCATGGTCCTAATCTCAAAACAATTTGAAGCTGAGCTCTGGGCATTGTTGTTTAAAAGAATGAAGTCATACTAATTTGGACATCCTAGAGTAGAGTTTATGATCATTCACCTTAAGTTTACTAAAGTATAATCTTGTGTCAGATATACAGAAAGGGGTTTTCTAAGTCACCGTCTTCTAAAATATGCTCTCCTGAACACTTACCCTATCCAATGCTAGAGAAGACAGTTTTAAACAAATTTACGCATTTGGGAAACATTACATATTGTATGTAGCTCTTAGAAATTCAAAATGCACATTATTAGTACATTATAGTCTCAAGGAATTCTCAAAGCATTCAAATTCATTGATCTGTGTTTAACTCTGTGTTTCCCAGAAGTGCTTAACCATAACTTACATGTACTTCCTACTTATCCCTACTAATCACATCTCCAGGAATTATAGTTCACTGGAATATACTTTGGGAAATGATGTTCTAAGCAAAGACATGGGAGGCCTCTCATTTTTTGTTTTGATTATCAGAATCCCTCACATTTGAAGTTCCCCAGGAAACCATATTTTGCAATAATACATAATGTCAGTCCCCATTTCAGCATCTGGTACACATCATATAACACCTACTTACATCCATCTCATCTGTGTGTTTTGTGAGCTTGGTGTCTTTCTGGTCCATAGTCCCTCTGAACTCACCAAGTTTAAACTCCTGACAGCACAATGTGTTTCAACTACAAAGGGAAACTGCAATTCTTGTGAAAGAGGTGGGATTTCATAAAGTCCATGGAAGTGAGGTTGGAGAACAGCTCAAAGCATTACTACCCAAAGTCATTTACAAATGAGATTCCAGGAGAGTTAACCTACTTGAGAACTAAAGAAGAAAAACTTAATATGGATGAAAAGTAGATGGATTCTCCAAAATGAAAATTATGAATCTCCAAAGAATAAGAGATGCCACTGGAAAAATTAATGACTCATTAATTTTTTTTGGTAAAATGACCTTCTTTATAATCAAGCTATGAAAATCAAACATGAAATAAAGGGCATTAGATAACTTTATTAGAAATTTAGTACAATTTACCTGTTTCTCAAATGTTTGTTTTTGTTCATCCTGAGAATTAATGCATTATTTCTTAGTTTTCACCCAAAATGAAGTTTTAGAAACTATCTCTTCCCATTTTGGTCTCTCTCTGTATTCACTTTAAGTGAATTGGCACCATTCCCATTTTGGTGCCAATTATCCTTAGTTGAGGCAAACTTCCTGTCTTGCAAACAGGATTGTAGTGGATATTTTAAAAATAGTATTTCAGAGAATAAGTGGTTTTCAGGGCCTTAAAAATGTTCTTCATATTATCCATGGATGTTGCTAATTAAAAACAATTACTGGGCTGGGCACAGTGGCTCACGCCTGTAATCCCAGCACTTTGGGAAGCCAAGGCTGGTAGATCACCTGAGGCCAGGAGTTTGAGACCAGCCTGGCCAACATGGCAAAACCCTGTCTCTACTCAAAATACAAAAATTAGCCAGGCAGGGTGGTGCACACCTGTAATCTCAGGTGCTCAAGAGGCTGAGACAGGAGAATTGCTTGAACCCTGGAGGTGGAGGTTGCAATGAGCTGAGATCACACCACTGCACTCCAGCCTGGGTGACATAGCAAGACTCCATCTCAAAAAATAGTAATAATGATTACCAAATGCAAATATAAGTCCACTGAGCTAGTGCTGCATGGAGATCATAAGAGTGAGCCTGGAGCCAGGCTTCTGGGGTTCAAAGCCCAGTTTTATCCCCTGCTATGTCAGTGAACTTGGACACTGTTCTTAGCTTCTCTGAGCTGCAGTTTTCTGAAATTTATGTAATAGTAACAGCAGTCACCTTACAGGAGCATAGTGAAGCTTTAAGGAGTCAATGCCTAGGTTAGTCTCCTAGGGTTGTCGTAACAAAGTGCTGTTAACAGCATGGCGTAAACAACAGAATTGTGTTCTCCTGCAGTTCTGGAGGCTAGAAGTCTGAGGTCTAGGTGTTAGCAGGGTTGGCTTCTGAGGGTTGTGAAGGAAGGATCTGTTCCATTCCTCTCTCCTAGCTTCCGGTAGCCTTGGGTTGCAGATGGCATTCTTTCTGTCTCTTCACATCATCTTCCCTCTGTGCACATCTGTCTCTGTGTGCAAATCCCCCCGTTTTAAAAGGACACCAGTCATTTTGGATTAGAGTCCACCTTAATGGCCTCATCTCAACTAGATTACTTCTGAAGACTTCATATCCAAATAAGGTCACATTCTGAGATATTTGGGGTTAGTCCATTGCATCTTTTTTTGTGGGGATACAATTCAACCCATGACAATGCCTAGGAGTGCCAAAAATATGGCACATGGTGCATTAACTAAATATGGATAATAAGTATTAGGTCAAACCCTATAGAATATAGATATTTGACTATTTTACCTACAAAATGGTAATATAACATGATTTAGCATATTTTTTCTTTGCTTTTTTTTCAACAATCTCTGTCTGGGTGCTCATCGTTCCTGACACAACTCGACATTTTCTGGGCAGCCCCCGTGAGACAGGTTGTGGTGCAGGCAGGAGAAGGGTGGCTGTGCTGATTCACTCTGCCTCTCCAGTTCTGACCAATCTTCTATTTCAACTCTGGGATTCTTTCTTTAATCTTCATCTTCTGAATGATGTAGCTTTACTGTGAAACTGTCCAAGTGTAATTATCAGGCCTGTCATTGGTAAGGAACCCTTCCCAAGGCTCTGGGAGAGGCCCCAGACATGTATTGACATGTTAATATTTGATTTTTAAAACTTTCACAAAGAAGACATTTTAAACTTCAGTCAATTAAGGCCACGATGTCTTTGCACTCCAACTTCTCTTCCTTCTCCTCCTCTTGGGCTGTATTGGAGCCGCCGTGGACAATTTTGAGATGACCCAAGGAGAAGATGAGATGGGCGTATGTTTGCTGCAAGTGGAGTGGAATACACTTCTGTGATTTGCAGTCCCTTCCATGTATAATGGAGTATTGCTGGCTGTGCAAGTGGAGAAACAACTGGGAATGCCAACTTGAGGAGCGTCTGGTGGACACCATCTTGAATCCAGCACTCTCTCCATCCCCAGCCAGAAGTGTGTGTTGGTGGTGGGGGAGAGACAAGTTAGAAACAAGGTTAGTATGGAGCCCCGGGTCGGTTTGTGAAAATTTCACCAAATGTGTTACATTGTTAAGAGAAGATTTGGTTCTTACCAACACCCAGTCAAAATGGAGGTTCTCTCTTGCCAAGAATGTATTTGTTAATGCCTCTTTCTATCAACCATGCTAGAGGGAAGACGAAGCCATCTTTCTGTTCTCTGTATGGAATATATTAAACCATTCTTGTCTTATGCAGAGGGGTTAAAAGAACATCCAGCAAAGTTATGAAGAAAAGTATTATAGGAGTATGCTAGTTATTTAGTTAATAAAAACATTAATGGTGCTGTTGGATTTTTATGATCTGTGTTGAATTTATCAGCTTAAATTGTGTATATAATTTGTTGAGATTTCTTTTCTCAATAATGTATAAAATATACTTCTACAACAATTCTATATTTATAATTTTGTACTCTTTTTCTTCAAGAGGGGCCCTAAGATTGTAATATCTTCCAGTCCACTAAGGCTAGATCCTTTGATAGCTCTTGGCTTCTTTATCTTAAGATCTGGCTGCTCTTTGTGGCATCCAACTAATTCTTTTTTATCATATTCAAGCCATTTTAATATCCAGTGATAAAATGAATATTATTTGAATATGCTGCTGACTCACAGATAAATGATGGTGTTATCGTATAGGGAGAAGTGCTCTGAGGCCTTCATGTCCCCGCAGGCTCAGGCCATTTGAGTGAATCTGTGGCAGTAGTATCTTTCCTGTATGTGCTGACCATCTTGGTATGAATGGAGGAATTGGTTATTTATTTATAGCATGGGTTGCTATTGCACTCATGGAACAATTAAACAATGTCTTCTTAATTCTACAAACTCCTATGTTTTATTAATGTTCAAATAAATTGATATTTTATTAAAACATAAGTGAGTTCTAGTCCTAAGTAGGTGACATTTGGCTATTGTTGATGATATTTTTTATTTTATAAAAATTTTCTATGCCTGTTTCTTATGCATAGAATGTTGAAAAGGTCATAAATAATGACATTATTTGTTTGTGGAACATGCTGTTAGGACTGGGCCTGTTCCATAGTTAGAGAAAACGGATAAAAATTTCTAAGCAGATTTGTTCCCCCAAACCCACTCTTGTTGGCATTTGTTTGTTATTTGAGATTATATTTGGTTATTTTACTTGAGCTAAATGCATTTCAACCTTATTTTATATGGCACTTTTAGCTTCAGAACGATGAAAATTTATGTATTTTGGTTCTAAGAAAAGCCACAATAAAAGGATTTTAGATATTTAAGTGACTAAGTAGGGTATAGCTAGAAAAGGCTGGGCTACCTTTAATTCTGTGACTATCCTGAGTATCGCTGAATGTTGGGGCAGCCAAAGTGTGTTGATATCAATAAAAGAAATAGCCAGTTCAATGTTAACGTGTCTGCATGTTTAAATGTTTGCTCCTCTTCCTCTTCCTAGGGTGGACTACACGTTCCACCTCATGCCTGTACCACAAGAGACAACAAAATTACACAGTTCTGGTGAGGATTGCAAATCATAAGACTCTTGAAATAACATTTTCTGGCTTTGCCTTCAATTGTTGCAAATCTTACAGAGTTGTCCTAAAATTATTCAAATTGTGTTATAAAAGGGAAACAACATAACAAGAACGATGTCAGTGTCACATCAAAATGACTATAATGCCATATAAAAAGAAAAACAACTTTTAAATTTGATTTCATCCATTCATTATTGGAAACATACTTTTAGATACAGAAAGCTTTCTAGTCATATGGCCTAACTTGAGTTCTGGAGCATAAGACTCACTCTATCCCAAACATTGCCCGATGGGTTAAAATAGAATCATTCATGTTTTCAATCTACAAATCTTTCCTGAGCTGCTGCTATGTGTTGGGCACAGTTTTTGCTGTTAGGGGGATAATGGTCCGTGAGGCACTGGGCTCTTCATCCTCGGAAAGCTTCATTTTTAGAGTGATGAAAAATAAACCACTGAACAAATACATACGTCATAGAAGTATTGCGTAAATACAGAAAAATAGAGTAAGAGGACAGAGCCTGAGGAGAAGGCATGGCAGAAAGAATTATCTGAGAAGGCTTCTCTGAGGTGCTGACATTTGAGTAGAGAAGTGAGATGCAGTGAAGGGGAGGGAGTTATGTGAGGTTCTAACAGAAGAGCTTTCCAGATGGTTGGAACAGCACATGCCAATGTCTTGAGGTGGGAACAAGCATGGCTTCTTCAGGGAAGAGCAAAAGACTAGTGTGGCGAAAATGGAGTGACTGGTTGCTCATGTTGGGGACATGGTGTAGGAGAAGCCAAGCGGGGAAGGTGTGTGCTTTGATATCCAGTGTAAAAAGATTGCTGGTTGCCATGTGGAAAAGATACTGTAGGAGCTGGAGCAGCCTTTAGCCATTAGTGTCTGCCAAGAAACCGTGCCAAAAGGTAGTGCAGTCATCCCTTGATATCTGTGGTTATCAGGACCCTCTTCCTTGGATACCAACAATCCACAGATGACACAACTCCCTGCTATAAAATGGAGCAGTATTTGCTTATCACCTACACACATCCTCGCGTATACTTTAAATCATCTCTATATTACTTATACCTACTACAATGTAAATGTTATATAATAAGTTATTATGCTATATTGTTTAGGGAATAATGACAAAGAAAAAAGTGTGCATGTTCAGTACTGATGAAATTTTTTAAAAAAATATTTCCTATCTGCACTTGGTTGAATCCACAGGTGTGGAACCTATGGATACAGAGGGCTGATGGTAGTTTAAAGCTAGCCATGCATTTAACTCCCAAGTCTCTGGGTCAACAATTTGAGCTGGACTTTGTAGGCAATCTCCTTGGCTCAAATATTTCAGTTCTGAGGAGCAAGGTATTGATGGAATTTTGTGTGGTTAGAGAAGTCTTCATGGAGGAGCTAAGACTTGAGCTGTCTCTGCAAATGTGGTTGGGCATTCTCGGGGAGGGAAAGCTTGAACGAAGGAAGCAAGGCATGATGCATGTGGTGTGCTGGTGAAAGGAGGGAGAACAGCCTGGCTAGAGATGTGATGGGCTAGGGAAGTGCTGTAAAGGTGGCTGGGGACAGCCAGGCTCTGGAGGGACTGGATGGTAAGAGCGTTTAAGCTCTGAGGTGGGAGGATATAGCCACAGAAGACCTTTGACCATGAGAGCAATGCGGGGGACCCAGAAGAAGCTGTAGTGCTGAGTCTCTGTCTACGTCTTATGTTAGATGAGGGGGACTGGATGGGAGCTAGGGGTGTTTGCCCTGGAGTGATCATCACAGGATTAGGAAGTGACTATGCAAGCTGACTTGTAAGACAAGGCAAAAGGATTTGCTGGTGGGTTAAGGAGGGGAGGGATTTATAAAAGCTCATCTCTTGCTAACATTTCCTAAAAATATGTTCTCTGTTCCACCATAGAATAAGATGAACTGTTAAGTTCCATTGCATCAGGGATGTTCAAAGAAATGGAAACAACTCCAGGCATTTCAAGAAGGAAGGAATTTAATACAGGAGATGACTTAGCTTTGAGAGAGGCAGCAGGCTGTAAGGTCTCCAGCAGATGCAGCTGCCTCCAGAACTCTTGCGGCTCACCCAAAATCGCACATCTGCCAAAGCCCACATGTTCCCCTCACTGCCAGAGGAGCACCACTGTGATGACCGCTTCTCTTCTGCCTTCCAAGTCACATGTGAGTGCTCCTTCTGAGTAGAATCTGACCAGGATCTTGGAAAATGTACATTTTGGATGTCCTGCTCTGCAGCATAGCTGGGGGATGATAGGAGGAGAAAATGGTGTCCAGGAGTCAACAGCACTGTGACTCAGCTAGGTCTTCCCTTCCTCCCTTCATCCCAATTCTAATTCCTGCAGAGACCCTGGTCCTGTTTTACAAGACTCCTTTTAGCAGAATTTGGTCAAAGTCATCATGGCACTCCTATAAGCAATTACAAAGTGATATGGTTTGGCTCTGAGTCCCCATCCAAATCTCATCTGGAATTGTAATCTCTATAGTCCCCACATGTCAAGGGAGGGACCTAGAGGGAGGTGATTTTATCATGGGGTGGTTTCCCCCATACTGCTCTCATGATAATGAGTGAGTTCTCATGAGAGCTGATGGTTTTATAGGGGGTCCTTCCCACTTTGCTTGCTCTTCTCTCTCCTTTTGATTTGTGAAAAAGGTGGCTGCTTCCCCTTCTGCCACAATTGTAAGTTTCCTGAGGCTTCCCCAGCCATGCTGAACTGTGAGTCAATTAAACCTCTTTTGTTTATAAATTGCCCAGTCTTGGCTAGTATCTTTATAGTAGTGTGAAAACGGACTAATACACAAAGATTATTTTTAAAGGCCACTTAGCAGTGTTTCTTATTGTTTCCTATTATGGAGCAAGACTGGATAGAACATAGGGTAAAATAATGTCTAGGGTTTCAGGTAGACTAGTTTATACTTGCCTTATATATTTTTTCAGCATATATATGTATGTATATTTACATATGTGTATTTATTAACATATGGTTATGACTGGGCCACTTGTTGGTTAACTGTCTGTGTGCATGCGTGTGTGCTTTGACTTCCTGGTTTCTCACAGTCCATTCTGCTTGCCTGCTTCCCTCATCATTCCTGTACCTTTACAGTGGCCTACAAACACATCCAGAGGTGGGGAGGGGATGCTCAGAAACATTTGGAAGAGCTCATTAGGTAAAGTCTTCTGTTTCCTTTCTTCTTAATGCCTCGGTGGAGCAAGAAAGGAAAAAATAAAGGAGAACAGACACTAAGAAAACTCAGAACTAAAGCTCTTCAAAAGCCAAGACAGAGGTAGATTGTCTTGGTTGGATTCTTGAGTCTATTTTGCTGTTATGCATGTCAATTAAGATTGCCCAGTGGTTATTCTCACACTACCTTGGCAACCCTAATTCTTCTCTTCCTTTATTCTGCAAATATTTTTAGGGACTTCTTGTATGCCAGGAATTATTGTAGAATTAGAAGTTGAACATACAGGGTCTTGACTCTCAAAACTTCAGTTTAATGTGAGAATATGTGTCAGTAAACAACTACAATATAGTATGGGCTTTGCATAACAGGATCATAAACTTATTTAAAGAGAAAACTTAGCCCTCTATGTTCTATAGTGGTCTTTTCTGCAGGTCCCCGTCCAACTTGATCTGTGTTGTGTGTCTACATCTATGTGTGTGTTGGCTTTAACTAGTTCATTATCTCAACCTAGCTAGTGAAATTAGTTACTAAGTTAAATAGTCAATTAAGACTCGTTAATTTAGCTCCATCTCTTCTGGCATAAATCAACTTTTATAAGTAATTTAATTCCTTTCCAGTATATGTTTAGCGTTTTAGTTTTCTTCCCTTTCATTGTGACCTATTCCAAAATGGCATGAGTGTCTGGGAGTGGGGATTGACTCACTCGTGGTCTTGTGGAGGTGGGGAAGAAAAATGTCTTGTAGACACATTTGTTGGACCCTTTGTTGTCCTTTATGTTCCCCAGGCTCTGCATGCAGTGACCTCTGCCCACCTATCACTAAGGATGGTGACGGACAGATGGACTTGTGCCCCATGTTATCTTGGCCTCAGGGTCTTTCTCTGCTGACTGGGCTCTCCCTCAGTCCTTCCTGGTACTGCAGGAACCCCCTGGGGCTTGGAGGCCAAGGCTGCCCAGAGGTCCTTGGCTATTTGGTGACCTTCCCACCCTTTTCCACATTACCATTCCCCTCTCTACTCACTCCCTGGCAAGCATCATCAGGTACCTTCCCTTTCTCCACAGGGCAGGTGGGGCTGCTTCTGCCACAGAAGTTGAGGGATGCCTGAGAATGATAACCAAAGCTCTTTCTTCCTCACCACAGTGCGCTGCCATTTTTACTCAGTGCAGCACACCATGTTGCTAAAGGGGCATCAAGCCCAGCAGTCTCATCTGAATTCCAAATAGAAACTGGGGCACACACAAAACCCATGTCCTTTGATTTCTTCCAACCTAATCCTCCAACCTACCTGGTAGGTGGGAAACCATGACACACAGATGTTACGAATCAGTGTGACCTGCCTGCCTTCAGCTTCTCTTTGTCCTTCTACTCTCTTCTGGGCTAGAAAGGTCCAGATTTCCATTTCCCATTCTCCCTGGAAAAGACATTTTCTTTGTCATATGTTCTTTCTTGATAGAGGAGTGCTATGGTTTGAGTGTATCCCCCAAGGTTCATGTGTTGAAACTTAATCCCCAATGCAACAGTGTTGAGAGGTGGGACCTTTAAGAGGTGATTAAGTCAGGAGGGATCTGCCCTCTTGAATGGCTTAATGCTGTTATTGTGGGAGTGAGTTCCTGATAAAAGGATGAATTTGGCCCCATTCTGTTCCCCCTCTCTCTCCTGTGCTCTTGCCATGTAATGCCTTCTGCCATGTTATGACACAGGAAGAAGACCCTCACCAGATATGACCCCTCAATCTTTTTTTTTTTTTCTTTCTCACCTTTTTTTTTTTTTAATTATACTTTAAGTTTTAGGGTACATGTGCACATTGTGCAGGTTAGTTACATATGTATACATGTGCCATGCTGGTGCGCTGCACCCACTAACTCGTCATCTAGCCTTAGGTATATCTCCCAATGCTATCCCTCCCCGCTCCCCCCACCCCACCACAGTCCCCAGAGTGTGATATTCCCCTTCATGTGTCCATGTGCTCTCATTGTTCAATTCCCACCTATGAGTGAGAATATGCGGTGTTTGGTTTTTTGTTCTTGCGATAGTTTACTGAGAATGATGATTTCCAATTTCATCCATGTCCCTACAAAGGACATGAACTCATCATTTTTTATGGCTGCATAGTATTCCATGGTGTATATGTGCCACATTTTCTTAATCCAGTCTATCATTGTTGGACATTTGGGTTGGTTCCAAGTCTTTGCTATTGTGAATAATGCCGCAATAAACATACATGTGCATGTGTCTTTATAGCAGCATGATTTATAGTCATTTGGGTATATACCCAGTAATGGGATGGCTGGGTCAAATGGTATTTCTAGTTCTAGATCCCTGAGGAATCGCCACACTGACTTCCACAATGGTTGAACCAGTTTATAGTCCCACCAACAGTGTAAAAGTGTTCCTATTTCTCCACATCCTCTCCAGCAGCTGTTGTTTCCTGACTTTTTAATGATTGCCATTCTAACTGGTGTGAGATGATATCTCGCAGTGGTTTTGATTTGCATTTCTCTGATGGCCAGTGATGATGAGCATTTTTTCATGTGTTTTTTGGCTGCATAAATGTCTTCTTTTGAGAAGTGTCTGTTCATGTCCTTTGCCCACTTTTTGATGGGGTTGTTTGTTTTTTTCTTGTAAATTTGTTTGAGTTCATTGTAGATTCTGGATATTAGCCCTTTGTCAGATGAGTAGGTTGCAAAAATTTTCTCCCATGTTGTAGGTTGCCTGTTCACTCTGATGGTAGTTTCTTTTGCTGTGCAGAAGCTCTTTAGTTTAATTAGATCCCATTTGTCAATTTTGGCTGTTGTTGCCATTGCTTTTGGTGTTTTGGACATGAAGTCCTTGCCCATGCCTATGTCCTGAATGGTAATGCCTAGGTTTTCTTCTAGGGTTTTTATGGTTTTCGGTCTAACGTTTAAATCTTTAATCCATCTTGAATTGATTTTTGTATAAGGTGTAAGGAAGGGATCCAGTTTCAGCTTTCTACATATGGCTAGCCAGTTTTCCCAGCACCATTTATTAAATAGGGAATCCTTTCCCCATTGCTTGTTTTTCTCAGGTTTGTCAAAGATCAGATAGTTGTAGGTATGCGGCGTTATTTCTGAGGGCTCTGTTCTGTTCCATTGATCTATAACTCTGTTTTGGTACCAGTACCATGCTGTTTTGGTTACTGTAGCCTTGTAGTATAGTTTGAAGTCAGGTAGCATGATGCCTCCAGCTTTGTTCTTTTGGCTTAGGATTGACTTGGCGATGCGGGCTCTTTTTTGGTTCCATATGAACTTTAAAGTAGTTTTTTCCAATTCTATGAAGAAAGTCATTGGTAGCTTGCTGGGGATGGCATTGAATCTGTAAATTACCTTGGGCAGTATGGCCATTTTCACGATATTGATTCTTCCTACCCATGAGCATGGAATGTTCTTCCATTTGTTTGTATCCTCTTTTATTTCCTTGAGCAGTGGTTTGTAGTTCTCCTTGAAGAGGTCCTTCACATCCCTTGTAAGTTGGATTCCTAGGTATTTTATTCTCTTTGAAGCAATTGTGAATGGGAGTTCACTCATGATTTGGCTCTCTGTTTGTCTGTTGTTGGTGTATAAGAATGCTTGTGATTTTTGTACATTGATTTTGTATCCTGAGACTTTGCTGAAGTTGCTTATCAGCTTAAGGAGATTTTGGGCTGAGACGATGGGGTTTTCTAGATAAACAATCATGTCATCTGCAAACAGGGACAATTTGACTTCCTCTTTTCCTAATTGAATACCCTTTATTTCCTTCTCCTGCCTGATTGCCCTGGCCAGAACTTCCAACACTATGTTGAATAGGAGCGGTGAGAGAGGGCATCCCTGTCTTGTGCCAGTTTTCAAAGGGAATGCTCCCAGTTTTTGCCCATTCAGTATGATATTGGCTGTGGGTTTGTCATAGATAGCTCTTATTATTTTGAAATACGTCCCATCAATACCTAATTTATTGAGAGTTTTTAGCATGAAGGGTTGTTGAATTTTGTCAAAGGCTTTTTCTGCATCTATTGAGATAATCATGTGGTTTTTGTCTTTGGCTCTGTTTATATGCTGGATTACATTTATTGATTTGCATATATTGAACCAGCCTTGCATCCCAGGGATGAAGCGCACTTGATCATGGTAGATAAGCTTTTTGATGTGCTGCTGGATTCGGTTTGCCAGTATTTTATTGAGGATTTTTGCATCAATGTTCATCAAGGATATCGGTCTAAAATTCTCTTTTTTGGTTGTGTCTCTGCCCGGCTTTGGTATCAGAATGATGCTGGCCTCATAAAATGAGTTAGGGAGGATTCCCTCTTTTTCTATTGATTGGAATAGTTTCAGAAGGAATGGTACCAGTTCCTCCTTGTACCTCTGGTAGAATTCAGCTGTGAATCCATCTGGTCCTGGACTCTTTTTGGTTGGTAAACTATTGATTATTGCCCCAATTTCAGCTCCTGTTATTGGTCTATTCAGAGATTCAACTTCTTCCTGGTTTAGTCTTGGGAGAGTGTATGTGTCGAGGAATGTATCCATTTCTTCTAGATTTTCTAGTTTATTTGCGTAGAGGTGTTTGTAGTATTCTCTGATGGTAGTTTGTATTTCTGTGGGATCAGTGGTGATATCCCCTTTATCATTTTTTATTGTGTCTATTTGATTCTTCTCTCTTTTTTTCTTTATTAGTCTTGCTAGCGGTCTATCAATTTTGTTGATCCTTTCAGAAAACCAGCTCCTGGATTCATTGATTTTTTGAAGGGTTTTTTGTGTCTCTATTTCCTTCAGTTCTGCTCTGATTTTAGTTATTTCTTGCCTTCTGCTAGCTTTTGAATGTGTTTGCTCTTGCTTTTCTAGTTCTTTTAATTGTGATGTTAGGGTGTCAATTTTGGATCTTTCCTGCTTTCTCTTGTGGGCATTTAGTGCTATAAATTTCCCTCTACACACTGCTTTGAATGCGTCCCAGAGATTCTGGTATGTTGTGTCTTTGTTCTCGTTGGTTTCAAAGAACATCTTTATTTCTGCCTTCATTTCATTATGTACCCAGTAGTCATTCAGTAGCAGGTTGTTCAGTTTCCATGTAGTTGAGTGGCTTTGAGTGAGATTCTTAATCCTGAGTTCTAGTTTGATTGCACTGTGGTCTGAGAGATAGTTTGTTATAATTTCTGTTCTTTTACATTTGCTGAGGAGAGCTTTACTTCCAACTATGTGGTCAATTTTGGAATAGGTGTGGTGTGATGCTGAAAAAAATGTATATTCTGTTGATTTGGGGTGGAGAGTTCTGTAGATGTCTATTAGGTCCACTTGGTACAGAGCTGAGTTCAATTCCTGGGTATCCTTGTTGACTTTCTGTCTCGTTGATCTGTCTAATGTTGACAGTGGGGTGTTAAAGTCTCCCATTATTAATGTGTGGGAGTCTAAGTCTCTTTGTAGGTCACTCAGGACTTGCTTTATGAATCTGGGTGCTCCTGTATTGGGTGCATATATATTTAGGATAGTTAGCTCCTCTTGTTGAATTGATCCCTTTACCATTATGTAATGGCCTTCTTTGTCTCTTTTGATCTTTGTTGGTTTAAAGTCTGTTTTATCAGAGACTAGGATTGCAACCCCTGCCTTTTTTTGTTTTCCATTGGCTTGGTAGATCTTCCTCCATCCTTTTATTTTGAGCCTATGTGTGTCTCTGCACATGAGATGGGTTTCCTGAATACAGCACACTGATGGGTCTTGACTCTTTATCCAACTTGCCAGTCTGTGTCTTTTAATTGGAGCATTTAGTCCATTTATATTTAAAGTTAATATTGTTATGTGTGAATTTGATCCTGTCATTATGATGTTAGCTGGTGATTTTGCTCGTTAGTTGATGCAGTTTCTTCCTAGTCTCGATGGTCTTTACATTTTGGCATGATTTTGCAGCGGCTGGTACCAGTTTTTCCTTTCCATGTTTAGCACTTCCTTCAGGAGCTCTTTTAGGGCAGGCCTGGTGGTGACAAAATCTCTCAGCATTTGCTTGTCTGTAAAGTATTTTATTTCTCCTTCACTTATGAAGCTTAGTTTGGCTGGATATGAAATTCTGGGTTGAAAATTCTTTTCTTTAAGAATGTTGAATATTGGCCCCCACTCTCTTCTGGTTTGTAGGGTTTCTGCCGAGAGATCCGCTGTTAGTCTGATGGGCTTCCCTTTGAGGGTAACCCGACCTTTCTCTCTGGCTTCCCTTAACATTTTTTCCTTCATTTCAACTTTGGTGAATCTGACAATTATGTGTCTTGGAGTTGCTCTTCTCGAGGAGTATCTTTGTGGCGTTCTCTGTATTTCCTGAATCTGAACGTTGGCCTGCCTTGCTAGATTGGGGAAGTTCTCCTGGATAATATCCTGTAGAGTGTTTTCCAACTTGGTTCCATTCTCCGCATCACTTTCAGGTACACCAATCAGACGTAGATTTGGTCTTTTCACATAGTCCCATATTTCTTGGAGGCTTTGCTCATTTCTTTTTATTCTTTTTTCTCTAACCTTCCCTTCTCGCTTCATTTCATTCATTTCATCTTCCATTGCTGATACCCTTTCTTCCAGTTGATCGCATCGGCTCCTGAGGCTTCTGCATTCTTCACGTAGTTCTCGAGCCTTGGTTTTCAGCTCCATCAGCTCCTTTAAGCACTTCTCTGTATTGGTTATTCTAGTTATACATTCTTCTAAATTTTTTTCAAAGTTTTCAACTTCTTTGCCTTTGGTTTGAATGTCCTCCCGTAGCTCAGAGTAATTTGATCGTCTGAAGCCTTCTTCTCTCAGCACGTCAAAGTCATTCTCCATCCAGCTTTGTTCCGTTGCTGGTGAGAAACTGCGTTCCTTTGGAGGAGGAGAGGCGCTCTGTGTTTTAGAGTTTCCAGTTTTTCTGTTCTGTTTTTTCCCCATCTTTGTGGTTTTATCTACTTTTCGTCTTTGATGATGGTGATGTACAGATGGGTTTTCGGTGTGGATGTCCTTTCTGTTTGTTAGTTTTCCTTCTAACAGACAGCACCCTCAGCTGCAGGTCTGTTGGAATACCCTGCCATGTGAGGTGTCAGTGTGCCCCTGCTGGGGGGTCCCTCCCAGTTAGGCTGCTCGGGGGTCAGGGACCCACTTGAGGAGGCAGTCTGCCCGTTCTCAGATCTCCAGCTGTGTGCTGGGAGAACCACTGCTCTCTTCAAAGCTGTCAGCCAGGGACATTTAAGTCTGCAGAGGTTACTGCTGTCTTTTTGTTTGTCTGTGTCCTGACCCCAGAGGTGGAGCCTACAGAGGCAGGCAGGCCTCCTTGAGCTGTGGTGGGCTCCACCAAGTTGGAGCTTCCCGGCTGCTTTGTTTACCTCAGCAAGCCTGGGCAATGGCGGGCGCCCCTCCCCCAGCCTCGTTGCTGCCTTGCAGTTTGATCTCAGACTGCTGTGCTAGCAATCAGCGAGATTCCGTGGGCGTAGGACCCTCTGAGCCAGGTGTGGGATATAGTCTCCTGCTGCGCCGTTTTTTAAGCCGGTCTGAAAAGCGCAATCTTCGGGTGGGAGTGACCCAATTTTCCAGGTGCGTCCGTCACCCCTTTCTTTGACTCGGAAAGGGAACTCCCTGACCCCTTGCGCTTCCCAGGTGAGGCAATGCCTCGCCCTGCTTCGGCTCGTGCCCGGTGCGCGCACCCACTGGCCTGCGCCCACTGTCTGGCACTCCCTAGTGAGATGAACCCGGTACCTCAGATGGAAATGCAGAAATCACCCGTCTTCTGCGTCGCTCATGCTGGGAGCTGTAGACCAGAGCTGTTCCTATTCGGCCATCTTGGCTCCTCCTCCGACCCCTCAATCTTAAACTTCCTAGCGTCCAGAACTGTGAGCCAAATGAACTTCTTTGGTTCATAAATGATTCAGTCTGTGGTATTCTGTTATAGCAAAATACAAATGGACTAAGCATTTGTATTTTGCTAGAATTGCTACCATTTGTGTTTACACAGAATACCTGGTCTGTGATATGCTGTTATAGCAAAATACAAAAGCAAAATGGACTCAGATGGAGAGCCAAGCTTTATTGGCTTGGCTTTGGTGGTAGCTGGTGTGCAGGGAAGGACATGACTCACTGATCTAAGGAACTCTCAGGCATTATTTTGAAAAATACTGACTCTGTGGTACTTGCTGTCTGAGTGAATCCGTGGGAGCTGCATAGAACAAGTACTTCTTCATCTGAGACTTGAGGGATAAGTTAGAATTTTTTAAGTAGGCAAGAGTAGTAGGAAGAGTGTTCCAGGCTAAAGCACAGGTATTTTCAAAGTCATGGAAACGCACAAGTTTGGCAAGCTCAGGAAAAGAGTTTCTGGCCTCTGTTATTTTAGGAAGTCCTAGACCAGAGTTGTTTTTGCTGATGGAAGTAACCCAGGCAGCACTAATGAGCTCTACACTGAGAATCAAAAAGTGTGGTTCCAGTTTGAGATGGGATCAGAGCCCATGTGTTTTTTTCCCCTTCTCTCCAAAGGTTGTCTTGAAAATGACAAGTTATAGGATAACAATAATGACAATAATAATAAAAATGATAACAAAGAAACAAAAAACAGCATTTGTCTTGTAGAATCCTACCTTTTACATTTTAATTTTGGTCTCTGGACTGAAGCAAGAAAAAAGTTAGAAATAGGAAAAGGATTAGTGAGGTTTTCCTCTCGGATGAAACAGGATAGGCCTAGCAGCTCCTTGGCACCCACTACTGTGAAGCAGGCTTGGTGTGCACCAGTTACCAATCTGAAGTTTCCAACACTTGCACCAGTCTGGTAAGATGGAACACATGCACAACAAATTAAGTGGAGCAACTGTAATACAGACAAACAAGACACAAAAGAAGCCTAGGATTCCTGGCAAGCGCATCTCCCAAGGTAAAGGGAAAGCTGCGTGTGGCGGATGGGATTTGTCTGTGCATGCCCTACATCCTACCACCGCCAGGGGACCCCCAAAGCACTCTGCTCTGGGTTTCTACATCCTGGGGAAGATTGGGATTGCGGGGCCTGTACATTCTATTGAAGTGGTGATGTTGTCTGGGGTAAGTGCCCGGGCTTCGTCGTCTAGCGCCAAAAAAATTTAGGACACGGACACACATGAGGAATTTAGGAGAGGACGTTAATAGGCAAAAGAAAGAGAAAGGAGAACCGTTCTCTCTCTAGTGAGAGAGAGGGGCTTCCAAAAGGAAAGAGGGGCTTCCAAAAGGAAAGAGCGGCTGGTGGAGTTCTCTGGATTTTATAGGCAGGCTTGAGTAGGCAGTGTTTGATTTAGGTAGGGCTCACAGATTGGTTCGATCAGGTGTGACGTTTACATAGCGTGCAGGGATGGCTGGCCACCCCACCCTAATCTTATTATGCAAATGGGCTTTCCACCTGACTGGCGCAATCTCGTCTGCTCCTTACTGTACACGTGGCTGGCAAAGAGGAGGGAAGATGGAGCTGCCATTTTGAACATGTCTAGTCCCAGGTAGCATTTTTCCTGTGGGCATTCACCTGTGCAAGCTTCCAGCTTGCTTGTCTATGTCTGCAGCTCAATTTTACAGGCTGCTCTTTGTTAGAAAATGATTTGGGGGCGGCTTTTCATTAAAAAGGAAAAACCTTACTCCTGTACCCTCACTATCTGCCTAAGTAATTTCTTCTTAACTCCTATATCACTATTATGAGAGGAATGGGAACAGAGCCTGGGCTGTTCTAGACCATTCCTTCTTATCTCGAGAGGTTGCATTCCCAGCACATCCTACAGTTGAGAATTAGGAGCAGGGGAGAGCTGGGTTGGCCAAGGGCATCTGGGGACCCGTCCTTGTGAAATGACCCTCTAGCTCATCCCCAAAGTCAAGCGATCATCCCTAATAGGTGGCTCTCGACTTCTAGTGTCTCTAGTTCTGTGGTCCCGCCCCTGCCTTTCTTCCCAGCCATAACCACCCTCCTAATACTTTACTTCCTACATACTTTTTTTTTGTATTTTTTATTCTTAACAAAACCTTAAGTATGGTGCTGTCTCTGCTCTTCTGGTCCTTACAGTCCCTCCTGGCTTCACAGTTCCCCTGCCTAGCCTGGTCAGGTATCTCAGCTGTACTCTTCTTAGTGTCCTGGAACACCTGTGCTCTGGATTTGCCAATCTTGGACTTTGCGTCTAGCTTCCATGTGACCAAGAGCTGCCGAAGATGGTCACAAAAATGTGGTAATTGAGTCTCCTAGGCATTCGTGTAACACATCATACAGAAACCAGGAGTGTTTTTTTTTTCTTTAAATTATTTTTTTTCTCAAATTCTCAACCCAATAACCCTCAAGCATCCCTGGAAAATGGACTTCACTTTAATGGGAAGAACATTTCCATTTAAATTCAGCCCCCTCACTGTCCCCGCTCCACCTCAGTATTTATCTGCATGTTCTCCTGTCCCTTCCTTCTCTTTTCCGAGGACAGGCACGGCCCTTCCCTCTTCGACACTCCCCTCCCTGTGCCATGGTTGAATTCCTGCTGCCTCCTCACACATCCAGCCTCATTAGTTTTCTCTACTTTTAACTCGTTGCCTTATTCTCTTTCTTTCTGTGGGCCTCTTCTCTCTTTTGATATATTAAGATTTCCCAGCCTTAAAACAAGTCTACTTTATATGCCGCAGTCCCATTGGCAACTCTCTTATTCCCCCTCCTTTTTCCCCTTTAAAATTCTTGAATGAATAGCCTGCACTTCTTGTTTCTTACCCTGTTCCCCTCACTTAAACATTGGCTGCTGCTTGCCATTGTCTATGGTAACTGCTTTCCTTAAGGTCATCAATGGCCTCCAACCTCCCAAATCTAGGAATATTTTCTCAGGTATGATTTCCCTGGCCCTTTCTCTAGCCTTTAATATTGTTAATTAACCTCTCCAGCCTAAAACCCTCTTAGCATTTTATTTACATGAGGAGTCATTGGTAAGTTCTCCCCTTTTTGGTTTCCCCTAGGTTGCCTTTTGCTGCTGCTTTATTCTTTTCCTTTCCTCTTCCTCCCCAAATGTAAACATCCATTCATATTTTTATCATTGCCACTATTATTTTCACTAATACGCCTTTCTGTAGCACTAAATATTCACTAGACACTATTCTCCATGCTTTCCGTATATGAACATAGTCAGCGATGGCCACACCCTGTGTAGCAGAGGCTGCTATTAGTTCCATGTTGCCAATGAGGCTATTGAGGGACAGAGAGGTTAAATGATTGACTAAGTTTATAGGGCTAGCAAATGTCAGAGCTAGGATTCAAACCTAGGCATTCTGACCTTGGAGTCAGGTGCTTAAGCATCTCGATCATCTTTTCTTTTCCTTTCTTTTTTTTTTTTTTTTTTTTTTTTGAGATGGAATCTCGCTCTGTTGCCCAGGCTGGAGTGCAATGGTGTGATCTCAGCTCACTGCACCCTCGGCCTCCCCGGTTCAAGTGATTCCCTTGCCTCAGTCTCCTGAGTAGCTGGGATTACAAGCATGCGCCATCACACCCAGCTAATTTTGTATTTTTAGTAGAGAAGGGGTTTCACCATGTTGGTCAGGCTGGTCTCAAACTCCTGACCTCAGCTGATCCACCCACGTTGGCTTCCCAAAGTGCTGAGATTACAGGTGTGAGCCACCGGGCCCGGCCTCGATCGTCTTTTCTACTGCTCTCGGTGTTGTCCAGCCGGTCTCCCCTATCCCCAGGCTTTGAAACTCACTCTGAGTATCACTAGCACCAGCACACTTTCTTCCTGGTCATCTCACACTACCATCTCAGCAGTGCAGCCTTGATGCCCATTAACATGCCCATGATGGGTCCCCTCAAGAAGGGCGTATTCCACTCCCTTCCTCACCCCTGAACCCACAATCTCACCAATCTGACATCCCCACCTTTGCTAATGGTCCTATCTGGTTCTACACGTGATGTTATAATTGATGTTTCTACGTCTCATTGCCCTGGCAATCCCATCTCTTCAACATGGCATCTTTGCTGCTGTCATTCTGCTGCATACTCAGTATTTCTTCTCCTTCTAACTGGTTTCTGTGCCAGTTTCCTATCCACAAAAAAAGACGACTTATGATGTATGAATAAAATAAATATTTCTCACGGGCTGGGCTCTGGTCAGTTCCTCAGTGTTTGGTATGTCACCAAAGGCCTGCTCCCTTTGGATGACTCTTTTTGTTCCACTCTCTGTGTCTGTGAGCAAGAATCTTAGTCAGGCTAATCCTTATGCATAAATGTCTGCAACTTTGAAAAATAACCTTCCATCCATCTACCATGACAAAAAAATGCCTACAGCTTTGTGAGTTAGTTTCCAACTCTACTTGAAGCAAACCATTTTTATTTGATCCACAGGGGATTGAGCAAAACGTTTCTCCATGAGATGGGGCTGATGGTCAGTTGTATGACAGCTGGAAGACTAGACCGCTGCTGAGAGGGAAGCATGGAAGTGAGTCCTGAGGATAGGTGAACCCTGATGTTGGTGAACTGGTTCATGTTCCTGCTCCTACACTTGGTCTTAGCTCAGGATGCTCCATCCTGGACTTTACCTTCCCCGCAGTACTTAGCATTTCAGCACGTGAATTTCTCACTCTGCATTCTTAACCCTAAACATGCTTCAGGGCATAAGTGATACATAAAAGAGTTGTATCCTCAGAGCCTGGGGACCTAGGAGATCCTGTCCAGCCCAAGCTTCCTCTTCCAGGCAGCCCCTCCTGAGGAGGTCCTAGGGGAGTGAACGGACATAGGGTGTGGAGGGGACGTTTGACCTGGAGCTCTCCTGTGTGAAGTCTTGTTCCTTGGCATCCTTGGGTAAATCACTTCATCCCTGGAAACCTTAGTTTCTCATGTTTATCTACTAAGTAATACTTGCCTTACCTATCTTATGGGTAAAATCCTAATTCAGAAGATAATATGGAAAAGTGAAAATTCTCTGCAAAATATAAAAAGGTTTACAGATGTTCATTGCTACATTAAGGTTAAGAAAAATATCCTGCATTTATACAACGTTTGTTATTTAAAAAATAGTTTTAACAAATGACTGGATACCTATAATTATTTTTGTGACTGTGCATCTTTCCCATGGTGGCTCCTTGGCAAACAATTCCCAAGGCTACAGTATTAAGCAAAAACGATAGCAATGTAAATAGTAAATCTTGTTCTTATTAAGTGAGAAATGGGTACATGCTATGATGTGTTTTGTGCTATAATGGTGGATGCTTTGAAAGCATATTGTTAGCTAAAAAATAAAAGCATTAAAATGGGAGAAAATTTTCGCAACCTACTCATGTGACAAAGGGCTAATATCCAGAATCTACAATGAACTCAAACAAATTTACAAGAAAAAAAGAAAACAACCCCATCAAAAAGTGGGCGAAGGACATGAACAGACACTTCTCAAAAGAAGACATTTATGCAGCCAAAAAACACATGAAAAAATGCTCACCATCACTGGCCATCAGAGAAATGCAAATCAAAACCACAATGAGAGACCATGTCACACCAGTTAGAATGGCAATCATTGAAAAGTCAGGAAACAACAGGTGCTGGAGAGGATGTGGAGAAATTGGAACACTTTTACACTGTTGGTGGGACTGTAAACTAGTTCAACCATTGTGGAAGTCAGTGTGGCGATTCCTCAGGGATCTAGAAGTAGAAATACCATTTGACCCAGCCATCCCATTACTGGGTATATACCCAAATGACTATAAATCATGCTGCTATAAAGACACATGCACACGTATGTTTATTGTGGCACTATTCACAATAGCAAATACTTGGAACCAACCCAAATGTCCAACAATGATAGACTGGATTAAGAAAATGTGGCATGTATACACCATGGAATACTATGCAGCCATAAAAAATGATGAGTTCATGTCCTTTGTAGGGACATGGATGAAATTGGAAATCATCATTCTCAGTAAACTATCGCAAGGACAAAAAAACCAAACACCGCATATTCTCACTCATAGGTGGGAATTGAACAATGAGAACACATGGACACAGGAAGGGGAACATCACACTCTGGGGACTGTTGTGGGGTGGGGGGAGGGGGAGGGATAGCATTAGGAGATACACCTAATGCTAAATGACGAGTTAATGGGTGCAGCACACCAGTGTGGCACATGTGTACATATGTAACTAACCTGCACATTGTGCACATGTACCCTAAAACTTAAAGTATGATAATAAAAATAAAAGCATTACAGTTATTCTTATTTCTCTTGTTATATATCCAAAAGTTACAAGGAAAAATGCCCACAGACCAAGGTAATGGGGATTTGTTTATGTACTCGGCCCTTTATGCCCTGCAATATAATTCAATTGGCAAATGTATTTTGCATGATTTTCTCATACAGCAAGCTGTATTTAATAGCATCTGGCACATCTTGGAGTGCCCCACTGCATATCATGAGATGTTTAAATTGTATCGAATACTTTATAAAAGCTATTTCCATTCTGTTGTGCTCTTTTTGCAGATGGTGATCTGAGACAGTTAACAGTGATAATACGCCTCACTTTACTTGTTTGTGACTTATCACTGTTGCAGATGGAGAAACAGCATTTATGGATCACTGTTTCTATTCCCTGATTTTGAGGCTGATTTCTCCTTAGACAATTCCTCAGATTTCACATTTGGGTCGGTAGCGCCAGATGGAAACTAGCATTCATGCCTGTGTACTTGATTTGTACCTGTAATAGTCAAATAGGGTGCTCAATTTAATAATGACTGGTACCTATGGAGACCAATGAACTCAATTTTTAAGGTAATGAAACCAACACAAATAGCGTTTGAAGAATGTGCCTGTCTTGCCCAATTTTGAATGCCTGTGAGCACCCACTTCTTAAACAAACATTGAGCAAAGCGGTTGACTCTATGGAGGCTGCACTGTTAATAAGACTTACTTCCTGTGCTCAGGGATTGTCAAATCAAGTAAGGAAGAGGTATTTAACAATAACAAATATCTCTGCCATGCCAGGCATTGTATTATTCAAGACAAGCTATCTAATTATAATTGTATTTTATTTAGAATATCTCAAAGTAGCTCACAAAAATTTCCAGTTTGAAGCTTTAAGGGGAAAAAATAAAAGACTTTGAAGGTCATCGTGATAGACTTAATAGCCATTAGTTGTCCAACAGCTTCAACAAATGGAATCAATGTTGGTAAGCTAGGCATCCAGGTTGGTAAGCCAAATGCTGTAGAGCACTTTAACCCATTCACCAATCATTGACCAAAGAAGTCTTTAAACTTCTGATTTCAAGAAATTTCTATAGGCAAAAGTTTTGATATACAAAAGAGAAATAAAACTAAAGTGAGGAAAAATTATTTTAATCTCATTTAAAGGAACGTTGAGACTTATATCTTCATCTTGGGCTCTTTAAATCTCATCATGTATATCCACATACACCTGTCAAGTGCCAACCTACTTTTTGTGTGTAAAGTGTAACCATGCCATAATGAAATTGATTGTAAGTTTCTGGGACACATACACATGCCCCTATATATTGGTATATATGTATTTATATGTCTTTCAAATGCCAGTTGTCAGATTCTATAAGTAGAGTTACTGTACTCATGCAGTTGAGAATAGAGAAGCAAAAATCTTCCAGCATTGACACATTTAAAATATATATATGTATTTTAAGATGGAGTCTTACTCTGTCACCCAGGTTGGGCTCAGGTGATCCTCCTGCCTCAGCCTCTCGAGTAGGAACTACAGACACGTTCCACTGCACCTGTCTAATTAAAAGTGTTTTTTTTTTTGTTTTTGTTTTTGTAGAGATGGAGTCTCACTTTGTTGTCCAGGCTGGACACACATTTTAAAATTCAATCATTTTGTGTTTAAAATATGTATACTCTAACTTATGTAAATGTTTAAAGAGTGCCTATTATGTATAAAGTCTGGGGTACTGAAGAGAGAATTGAATTAGGCAACATCCCTGCCCTTAAGTTGGAAACACATTTTAAAATTCAATCATTTTGTGTTTAAAATATGTATAATTTATGTAAATGTTTAAAGAGTGCCTATTATGTATAAAGTCTTGGGTGCTGAAGAGAGAATTGAATTAGGCAACAGCCCTGCCCTTAAGTAGTATACAAATATTTGCCTTTAATACAATGGGATAAGAACTCTTTTTCTTTTCTTTTCTTTTTTGAGATGGAGTCTCACTCTTGTTGCCCAGGCTGGAGTGCAGTGGTGTGACCTTGGCTCACTGCAACCTCTGCCTTCTGGGTTCAAGCGATTCTCCTGCCTCACCCTGCTGAGTAGCTGGGATTACAGGTGCCCACCACCACACCCAGCTAATTTTTGTACCTTTAGTAGAGATGGGATTTTGCCATGTTGGCCAGGCTGGTCTCGAACTTCTGACCTCAGGGGATCTTCCTGCCTTGGCCTCTCAAAGTGCTGGGATTACAGGTGTGAGCCACTGCGCCTGGTCAAGAATTCTTATGGTGGTAAACAAAGATAGAATAGTTTCATAAAAAGAGGGACAGATGACTTCTGCCCTGGGGCCCTGGCAAAGGATGGTGACTGTGTGAGAGAAGCTTTCTTAGAAGAGGGGATGGTAGAGGTGGGATGATTTGGAGATCTCCAGGAAGATAATGAGTGTGGGTGGGACCAAAGTGCAGGGTGAAAGTGAAGTCTCCTAGACTCAGTGCGCATGCTTGGCAGGTCATTTGACTACAGCTTCCATGCTTGGAGATGACTGGCTGGAGATGAGAGGCCAGTTCATGGTGGGGCTTTGCAGGTTTGGGATGATGCTGAGCTTGAACTCAAGAGAACTCTAGGCAATGGTGGGCCAAAGAAGGGTTTTAAGCAGGTCAGTGACATAATCATGTTTTTGTTTTATAATGATGCCTCTGATAGGAATGTTGAAGGTAGACCAAAAAAGGGTAGGTTTGCGGACAAGATTTGATTAGGAGCTTCTGGTCAAACCCCACAGAAAGTGAAGAGGATATAGGTGTGAGAGACATTAGGAGAGGTAGCATTATATAGAAACCAGTTGAATGGGAGATGGGGATAAGGGAGAGAAAGGATCTTAGGATGCATGCCAGATTTGGAATGGCAGTGCCACATTTACCAGGAGAGAGAAAGCAGGAAGAGAAGCTCTGTTTGGGTGCGCAGTAACACATTCAGTTTCATTCCGGCTGAGGTTGAGGTGCTGTTGGGCTGTCTAGGAGGGGAAGCCTTCTAAGCAGTTTTTGCACTGTATAATTCACGGGAACACGAAGATGAATAAAACACGAGCTCCTGCAAAGAATTCACAGTTCAGTAGGAGTTATTTGTCCATGTTCTAGAACCACCCAAGCCAAAGCTAACCCTGAGTTGTAACACACCATTCCCAAGGGGCTGTTCTATTCCTCTTTCAGCCCCCAGCTCCTCTGCCAGGGCTTCCAGTGCCTGAAGTCCAGGCTCCAACCCTTGCCAACCTTATCTTTTTGGAACACATATTGAATTATATCATTCCTCAGCTAAAAATCATTTGATGGCTCTCAATTGCTTCTGGGATAAATCCCAGACTCTGTCCCTGTCATTTTTGGCTCCTCAGGGCTCATATTCCACCCTCCTCTTCAAAACCAATAGATAGAGCCAGTCCACCCGACAGGCTGGCGTTGTGCCTGTGCACTCCTGAAGCTTCTGCCTTATGTGTTTTCTTGACTTGTACTGACATTTCTTGACTTGTACTGCCATGTGGGGACAGTTGTACTCATTCATCCTCAGCCTTGACTGTTCCTGTCCCTGAAACAATGCCTCCATAATAGGACAATATATGATGAGGTAAACGGATAATGAGGAGTGGACAATAGTTGAAAGACCTAGGATCTTTATCTTAGATCTAGGGCTTGGATCTTTGAGTGCTGGCTCTCAGCTTTTCAAATCACATGGTCTACGGTTAATTACTTAATTTCTTTAGGTTCAGTTTCTTCATCTATAGAATGGAGTTAAAGTTGCTCTTGCAGTTTTCACTGGGTGATGGGGAAGTTGAGAGTGATAAATAGATGTCAAGTAACAGGTAAATGAAGTACTTTATAAATGTGTTTTATATGGACATTTCACTGTAGGCGTTGAAATGTCTATTTCTAAATAATAAGACAAAATGTACAACTAATGACATCTTGCAATTGCAAATCTTTTTTTCTTTCTGAGAAATTTTGTATGAATATATACTGCAAAGAGGAAGGTGCTCTATATTGCCAATCTAAATTGATTGCTTACTTAGTACATGGTGCCCTGTAGGTACTGATAATTTATCATTTATGTTCTTCTTTGGAGATCATATGTATTTATACGTCACAACTGACGAGGCTACAAATTATGTTCTCTTAGGTTTCAGGGAAATTCAGCATCATCTCAAATTCCATAACTAACTTTGACTTAGGTTTAACTCACACAGGATAATAGATAATCCCCTGTACTCCGGCTGGATAGACCTCAAACATTTATGATCTGTTATTCTTCTCTCCACATTAATAAAATGGCACTTGGAAGCTCCCTCAGTGAAGACTGTGCAGCTGGCGTGACAGTGATGGGCAGCTTCTTTGGCAATTGCAGTAAATGTTGTATCTGTTTATCCATGCATCTGCAAAAGTGAATGTACAGAAGCGGTGAGGGGGTGTAGAATAGAAAATGGGGCTACTTCACAGATAAGCATTTGAATGTGTCATCTGAAACAGAAGTCCTAATTGGCCCTAGACAGCTGTCAAAAACATTCCTTGTTCTCTGATTCGACCAGAACTTCTGCCTCTGAAATAATTGTTTCTTTTTTCTTTTTTTTTCTGCACCAGCAAATACATAACATGTTTGCATATCCCTAGTTTTTAAAAGTCATACTATCCTCCCTCCTAAGCTGCTGAGTTCCAGCTTCAGACAACACTTAGCAACATAACTAGCAATACTTATATTACTAATATCATTGCTGGCATTTGTGGAACATTCCATATGCCAGGCTCTGTGCAAAGCGCTTTATTCACATGATCTCATTAATTCATCACAACATAGGTCTGTGGGAACAATTATAGTAATAGGTAGGGACTAGGAAACCCCTCCTTTTCTTGGAGAAGTTAAATAATTTGCCCAGGGGCATGCTTCTATTTGATAGCAGGGCAGAGTCTAAAACCCAGAACTTTCTAAAACCTGGGCACCTAATCATTGAACCACACTACTTTTTGAGGCTTTGTTTCTTGGTTACATTTATCTTAGCAAAAGCTATAGCTGCTTTTCAAAGAATGATGCATTAGTTCATACCACAGTTTCTTCTGATTTCTCATATCCTTCTCTCTGCTTAATTAAATCTCAACTTATGCTTGTTTGAAAGCAGAGTGTCCCAACTGGAGGACTTTGAGTGGGTTACCAGGGGTCATGAGATAGTGATTCCCTCCACCCTTGGGGCCACCAGGTCTGTTATGGGAGTCTGATGTTTCTGGCTACCACTGGCTGGCAGCAGCCTTATGCATTTACTCTGTGATGTATGCCCATTTCATTCTCTATGGATGATGTGAAGGTCAGGGGTCTGCCAGAGGCCGTGGCAAGCCTCTGTGTGCCATTAAGCCTTCCTGGGGCTCTGGCTTCTCTGTTCCCACAGCATTGTATTCTTTCTCATTGAATCCTGTTCTTAAAGGATCATTGTTCATGTCCACTGATTTTTTTTTTAAGAGTCCGAGTTTTTACTTCCTTTAGAATAAAACGTCCTGAGGGCAGTACAAAGCACATGGGAATTGGTTGTTGATAGACGAGCATTTTAAATAAGCAAATGAGCTTCTGCCCTGTATGACCTGTTATTATCCTGTGACTAGATTTCTAAGTCAAAGTGAAATGGAAGAGTGAAGTAATTATCTGCACAATTTAGCAGGAAAATAGTGGCAGGCTGAATTTTCTAGATAATGTGATGCTGCATCCCATATTGGTTAGATGAGAGGAACTGAACTGTGTTTGCACACCTGGTCCTATATATTAGGATTCCCGCTTATTTATTCAGCCTGTCAGCCCTTTAAGAGAGTACTCTGGTTGTTTATCCAGAGAATTTATCTAAATGCACCTCTCCAGCCTAGTCTGTAGTAGTCTAGTAATGTACACAGTGCAATCATGCATTGCACAGTCTGCAATTCTCCCTGCCCACCCTGCTGGAGAACCAGGTAGCCATTTATAAATATGTGTGTGTCAGATGTTTAAAAAATGCTCGTATACTGGGAATATAGCAAAATGCCTTGAGGTACACTGCACATGGCCTGGATAAGATGTTTGCTTTACAGAACCATCTCTGATGCAACAACAGTTGCCTAATTAAAGCACCAAAGCCCATTCCACTGATAGCAGCAAAGGACACAACACCGAAGCATCTCTTTCTCCCCAAAGGCATGTTATTTTGTGCTGGAGACTCTTCATAGGTGGAAAAGCACAAAGAGAGACTGCACAGCATTTGGGCTCTTCCATTAGAGCAGACGCTGGGGGGGTGTAAGAGTAGGGTGAGGGCGGGGAGATGACTTATTTCCATTTCTAAGTAACACATAAAATTGGCCTTGCTCCTTGTAGCAGTCATGAGACCCACACACATTTCCCTTTCTGTCCGGTTAAGCACTTGAGTATTTCCTCCTTGATTTCTCAGATCAGTGTGTGGTAGTTGGTATAAGCCAAACAGATCCTTAGAGCACTTAATAAATCCAGAAGAGGCATATAGGGGAGTCCTTATAAATATATAATAGCGATCTCTGGATAACACTTAGACATTTTAACTCCCTGAAAGTGATGTTATTTTGAGGGTCTCCAATTGTAACATCATGAAAGGAGCCACACGGCTGATGTGGAAATGGAAGGAAGATAATGCATTTAACATGGCTTTTTTGGACCACTCTTTCATCAACTATTGATTTGATTGCAAAAGCCTTTAGTTAGTGCAGGAATTCTACTGGTAATAATTAAATTTTCAAGAGATATGCCGTAGGAGAAATGAGGGGAGGAGGGGAGGGAGGGGCTACATGTGGAGTGGGCTCCACGAATGTTAATGACTCTGTTAGAGTTACATAAAATTAACAGAAATTAGATCTATGGTTATTGAAGAGCCTCCTTTATATTGAGAGGAACCATTTAAGTATAACGATTGGGGATTATGGTTCAGTGGAACCTTTTAACTGTTCATTTGCCTGCCTTACTGACCGCTGGGCGGGGTGCGATAAATTCAGGATGTTGTGAAATGACTCCTGCTTCCTTTCGTTTGGATTCCTTTGCAGTTTTCTTCATAACATCATAGTATGGGCTAGTGTTGCCTTTATGCTTTACTAAGTGAGGTTCACAGAAACGAACAGTCCTTGCAAAGTGCACAGTAATTATTTTGACCTCTTTGTCTTGATTTCTGTCTAAAAGACCTCCCCCAATTTCTGTAGAATCTAATTGGATGTAGTTTTAACATTTCCTTCCTACACAGGGCCTACAATTGCTATAAAAGGTTACCACGATCTGAACACGTATTATCTCAAAGTAGAGGTGAGTGAACGTTCTGACCGAGAACGGCAACATTTAAGACAATGGAGTGTGCAGCTTCTGCAATCCACAGATTTTTTTTCTTCCTATAGAAATATTTTGTATGCTAATGTGCTTCTGACGGTGAGACTTGACTTTTTACTGCAAACTCTAGCGTTGGTTGCCGAGTATGTTAGCTCAGGTTTCATGGGAAAAGATATTCTTTGTGAGTAATGGGGTGAGAAATGAGAAGAGGAATGCAATCTGGCTGCTTATGATGAAGGCTTGATGAGAAAGAGTTAAAACCCAGCCTATTGTCTGAGGCATGCTCAGTGTTAGGAAACTGGGGCATATAGATTAATTCACTAGGGGCCAACTGTTTGATTTCTCTCCCTGCTGCTTGGCACCGGAATGCAATTCTAGCTGCATTTATAGCAGAAGCTTGGATTATATTCTCTTTTGTAGGAATTAAGCCCCATAGAATAATTTATGTACAGCCAAGTGAAATTAAGCCAAAACATTTAAAGAGAAGTTGGTGGAGTTTTCTCAAGGCAGATGCCATTGGTTTCAATGTCAACATGGTGTTTGTTCTGTGTACCATCCATTGGGTGGCCTGTGTCCTTTGGGAAAGAACTGTGTGCAGAAAATTCTATAGCCACGATGCTTTGGGTACTCCCATTTGTTTTTCTTTCTGATATAACCCAGGAAAGCTTCAGTTCTATAGAGAATAGACTTATCCACAGTGCCCTGAGGAATCACTGCAACCAGACAGTCATAATGCCTCACTGGGATATGAGTCCATATAAGAAAACATACCACCCATTAGCCTGAGCCTTAATGTGTACTTACTCGGGTAAATAATTAAGGGAGTAGAGGAAACTTAGGTTTTTACATAAATATTAAAGGGACTGCTTTAACTGCGTGTTGTGCCAAAATGCCCACCACATATCGAATATGAGATGGCCTATATTAAACTGATACATAAAGGCAAAGGATGATTTTTGTCCTAAGGCTGTGCAAGGAAAAGTGACAAGAGGATGAACTAAAGATGAATTGCAGGATGCTGTCTTTGTTCAGCACCCACCCTCAATATGCGATGCTATTGAAGCCAGAAGTGGTCTACAAGGTAGCTGGGTATCAGCAGCACTCATTGCCAGAGACAAAAAGAAACCTCTGTTGGGTGGGGGCTGAGGGCCCCAGCTCCTAGATCCACAGGTCAGCTTTCAGTCACGTTGCCTTGGAGCTTGACGAGGCAGGTGGAATGCTGAACCTGCAGCTGGGGTTGGGACTATCACCAGTTTTAGCAAGTAGTGTGATTACTGTTCTTATTTTAAAATACAAAGTTTTGGAGTATTTTTTTGAATTGCTTAGGCAAAAATAATCAAATATACTTTGTGGATGAGGAAGAACACTGTTTTGCAAAAGACTAGAATATGAATATATATATTTTAAGTCAGTTCTGCTATAATGCTTATTTGGAAACTGAATTTGTTCCAGCACGACTGATATGTTAGGGAACAACTTGAACACAATGTGAATTTTGTGTTGGCTTCTGCGCAGTTTTGTCAGTGAGAGACACTAGGTGAATCCAGAAAGCTGCACCCAGCTCAACCAAGCCTTGTAGGCAACACAAAGCACACACACTTTAAATATCTGCCAGCTCCCCAAGTTCGCCAAATGTGTGAGGCCACAGCCGTGCACACTCATGCACGTGGTGAGTGCTGTCCTGACTTCCCTCCTATGCAAGTAACCTTTCTTCTGTCACTTCGCAATCTCAAGCAGCAACCCTGTGATGCCCACTTCCGCAAGCAAACTTCAGATCTTCTCAAGGTAAAATGCCACGTTTACTGTACTATATATGATTTCTTAACTATTTAACATATGCACTACTGTTTTGTTTTAGATTCATATTTCTTAACTTTGTGAAACATGTCACTGACAAAGTTTTTGAGTGTTATGTCCTTAACCTCATTTTCTCTATAAGCCCTATGGTTTTTGTTGCGTGATTTTGTGTGGTGCAGTGATATTTAGGAATCCATATGTTGCATTATAGCAGAGCTGACTAAGTACAGTTAGTGTTATTTAGCAAAAACTGAAATATTTATCCCTCCCTTCCTCTCTCTCCCTCTCCTTTAAAAATGTTCTCTGGATTCAAGAGACTCTAATGAGTCATTGGGATATGAGTCCATATAAAAGGAGTAAAGATACTCAAATGAACCCAGAAAAGATTTTTAAAGGAGAGGGAGAGATAGGAAGGGAAGGAGAAATTATATATCTATTATTTTTAATACAGAATAATATTATAAAAGAAAATTATTGATAGAAAAAAGTTATAATAATTTCTCTATTAATATAGAATAATGATATTGTTTTATTTACTAATATATTCTCTAATTATTAATCATAGATAATAACATTATTAGAGAATTATTAATAGATAAAATATATTATTTATATTATTATAATAATTTCTCTATTAATAGAGAATAGTATTTTTATGTTCTCTAATATTGTTATATTCTCTATTAATAGAGAAATTATGTCTCTATTATTCTTAACAGAGAATAGTATTCACCATTATTGTATATTTAGCTTTGTAAAATCAGATCTCTTCATATTGCATAATCTCAATAAATGTTTGTTGAAATGATTTGAATTGGTTTATTCACTGGCTAAATAATAGAACCTGTAATTAGGGATGCTGAGATTCCTGTCTCAGCTATCTATTCAAGCTCACCGCTCTCATACCCAAGAATTTTCCAGACCTTATTTGCAGAAATAAAGTTCTATGAGGCAGCAATATTTCTAAGGATTGGGTTTAATAATAATACATAAAAGCAAGATTTTGATGAAAACAGCATTTAGGGATCAACTCCTTTTTTTCTTCTTGATTTGTAAATGTGATTAGTCACTGCTTAATCTAGGAGTAGTGTTACCCTAGCCTGGTTCCTCTTATGCTAACCTCATGCTCACTTTGGAGTTAGCTGCATTTGAGGTCTGGTCATATTAGCAGCATTGCAGATCAGATGGACGTGAACAATTTAAGGAATTATGTGTTGAACTGCATTGTACACGGATTACTAACAGATGCCATTCTCTACTGGTTTTCAATTCTCTTATAACTCCCTTTCTTCTTTGAGAAAAAGGAAAAGAAACATCAATCAGTATGAAAATTCACAATTTGTTTTTCTATTATGGAAAATATAAGTTACCAATCCCGCTACAGGAAGAAAGAAGCATTTTAAATCAGATATTTCCATTGATGGTATTCTGAAATTTATATATGATAACTTTCTTCTTCCTCTGAGGTTGCACCAAGAATTTAGTGTACTGCCGGAGCAGATAAAACTGTTCTACTGGGTGGAAGAGTTTCTTAGAATAGATGTCTTAAAAACTTTGCATTCACTGTCAGTGAGTTTTGAAACATTCAAACATATTTTTATAAAATTTTATACTTAGAAAATTAAATCAAAAACTTTGAGAATTTAAAAAACTTTGGTCTTGAGCAATTTTTCCCTTATATTTTCTATTTTTCTGATTTTCTCCTTCTTTGCTATTATAATATTTTTGTATAGTTTCTATGCTGATTAATTTTTACTATTGCTCACAGCCATTTGTAAGAAGTTGCTAATGTGGAGAGACCAGAATAATGGCTGTCAGAAATTATTCTTATTCCACAGGGTATTGTGTAAAAGACAGTTCTTTTACTCCTTTCTTCTCACTTAACATACTTTGGCAAGCGTAGGTATGTTTACAATCTGTCTCCTTCACCATATCTCAATGACAGACTGCTTCCTGCAAGTATGGCTTGTTTGTGTCATTCTTCGTTTAGACTCAGCTATTCTGCACCTGACTGAAGAAAAGTGGAAGGGTATATTGCCCGACGGAAAATTAACGTGCTGCTAGTGAAAAAGAGGGATGGATTTGATGAAGGACACTAACAAGTGTCTATAATATACTAACATAACTTGGAACTAAGTATATTATATTCTAAGATAATTCTCCAAACTAACTTAATCAATATTTCTTTCTCTTTTTATTTTTTTTATAAGACAGGGTCTCACTCTGTAGCCCAAGCTGGAGTGCAATGGTGTGATCTAGGCTCACTGCAACCTCTGCCTCCAGGGCTCAAGCGATTCTCATGCCTCAGGCTTCCAAATAGCTGGGACTACAGGCGTGCACCATGCCCAGCTAATTTTTTGTGTTTTAGTAGAGACAGGGTTTCACCATGTTGCCCAGGGTGGTCTGAAACTTCTGAGCTCAGGTGATCTGCCTGCCTTGGCCTCCCAAAGTGCTGCGATTACAGGTGTGAGCCACCGCACCTGGCCTTAATCAATGTTTTCTACTCTTCCAACACTGAGACTTCATCAGAATGGTCACTCTATAGAAAAGGGACTGAGTTCCAGAAACTCCCTTTTCCCTCCTTTATCTTCTAACCTATGGAAAGGGACTGATTATGTGGTAAAGTGAACATCAGGCAATAAAAAGAGTGCAGATAAAGGGAAATTAAGGGAGATTACAAAATCTATAAATCCTAGTGTTTTAATAAACGAAGACTGAGCTGTCTTGTGTTTTCACCAGGAAATGTGCACAAAAATAAATATGAGAACAACAGAGATAAGCAGTGAATTTGGAAATTGAAAAATTATAGACCATTTGAATGACTCTGGCTTTTCTTTAGCCTTGTTGTATAGCCTTGAGTGATAACATTACTCAATTGGATTTTAGTGCGAAATGTTTCCCCCTAAACATCTCTTCTTGGTTCATATGATAAACAGGTAATAAAGTAGTATAAGATATTTCAAAAATACAGTCCTAAAAATCTATGGTTAAAAAATACGTATCTGGAGAAAAGTTGTTAGTAATAATCTCAAATGTTAGGGAAAGCCTAACAGTAGGCAGTGGATGTTCAGAAACCTCAAATTCCCACAGCCAGGCTTGTTAAGTTGCTCCTTTTCTGGGTTCTTCTTTCTCTCTCAGACTGATAGAGGGAAAGACCAGCAGATAAAATCATTTTGCAATACAGAAGCAATCACTCCAACTTTGTGCCAGATAATAGCCCTGTTTAAGTCTGCAGGTGGGATACTTTACTGACTGTAAACTCCTAGAGCCTATGCACAAATATTGGCAGGCAGGTGACCAACTAACAGCTGGAAAAGGTAGGCAAATAGATGAAGCTGAATCAGAGCCTGAAAAAAAAAGACAAAACAAAACACTCTCATTGTAGCAGCCGTGTAAGTGGAGAATATTTTCCTTATTCCTTTGCTTTCACCCACAGGGCGACACTCGGTAATTCTTCCATCTGTGATTGCTTCTGGCCACACCTTTGGTCTGTAGCAGTGGTTTTCAATCCTGGCTGCATGTTACAATCACCTGGGAGGCTTTGAAAGCTACTGACACATGGTTGGTACCTCTGGCGATTCCAATTTATTTGGTCTGGGGTGGAGCCCAGGGCTTGTAATTTTTAAAGCTTCCCTGGTGATTCTAGTGTGTAGTCAGTGTTGAGAAGCACTGGTCCTATAAATTTCTTTGCAGTGCAGCAGTTATGGGTCTAGAGGAGTGACTCTTTGGCTGCATATTAGAATCATCTGTGGAGTTTTGAAAAATGCCAGTGTCCAGGGCACACCCCTGGCCAATTAAATCAGAACCTCTGGAGTTGGGATCCAGGAGTCATCAGTTTTAAAAAACTCTGTAGAGGATTCAGGTGTGCAGCCAACGTTAAGCTCCACTGATGTAGAATGATGTGGGGGTCCAGGCAGGAGGACAGTCCAGGCGTGAGAAATACCTAGTGAAGAAGAGGTGCGTTCTCCATGCGGACTCCAGGAGGAGGGACACTGTCACAGAGGAAAAGATAAATCCCAGCACCTAACAAAACATGAAGAATTGAATTGACTCCCTCAGTCTGCATGTTAAGCGGTTGGGAGTTTTACAAAGTTAAGAGGGCACCTGATATCCACGGGGAGAAAGAGGGAGGGACGGGGTGGGGGGCATCAGAAGAGGGAAGCAGCAGGCATGATTTCCTTGGCGGGGCAACATCTGACAGAGGGAGAAATGATGGAGGCTCTGTATCTGGAGGTTTCTCATGGTGGGCCTTGGCCTCTCTTCCACTCTCACCTCTTCACCTTCTCCCACCTCCAGAGGTTCTCTGGCTACCAAAAGTCCAGGGTGATCCTTGTCACAACTCGCCCCAGCCAGTTTTCCCCAGAAACATCCAGGTACCCAAATGAAAGCAAAAGTAATCATGTCAAACTAATGTTCACTAAAGAGTAAGTGGTCATTACCCCCTCAGCAAAGTAGATTTCAAATGCCTCTGCTTTGACATAGTAATTCCTTGCAAGTTTGTTTGAATTGCAGGTTCCTGGCTACCTGTCTCAGGTCTTGACTCAGTAGTTCTGCAGGGGCATGCATGCTGGAATCCGCATCTTCCAATAGACACCCCCAGCAGCTCCTAAGGTCTTAGTTCTGACCTCAGGCATGTGGGGAAACAGTGTTGCATCACCTGTGGGTTGTTAGCTGATAATGGAAAATGACCGATTACCCAGCAGATGGTCTGCTCTTCCCTGACAGCACATTCACCTCCCATCTTCAATATCTAGGAATCAGGGTTTGGCCCTTCTCTATTTTGTGTTTCTATGGCACTTGCAGTTACCGTACATGTAAGCCATGCATGACATAAGGGTGTAGTGGGTACCTGTCATCAATCCCCCAATTCCTTTATATTGGAGCCTCTCCTCGAAAGTGTGCTTGGACAAAGTGTACAAACATTTCAATAAAATTTTTATAAAGCACAAAGAGCACAGCAATAATGTAATTTCTCTTCAGTATGTTGCTCCTGGCTGTAGTTGGCAGATGCCTTGCAGAAACCACCCACTTCTCTGTTTCAGAAATCCCCTTCCAGCTAGCTGTCCCTGGACTTGGCTTTTATTAGGGGTGTCACTGACCCCTTCTTTGTAGCACTCCAAGGTGTTTAGGGTGAGAGTGTGGCCTGGATTTATCTTCGGTGTGTGCTCTTAGCATCCTTCCATCCATGCTTAAAGGGTCCCCTATGGCTGTCAAACATGTCTTATGGGGGCAGAATGTGGCTTTCTTCATCATCTTGGTCCCTGGGCTTGAGAAAATGAGTAAAGTCGGAAAGTGGTAAGATAATGTACAACAGCCTATACTGTATCTGAGGGTTGGGTTTTCCTTAGCATGAGTGGGACTGAGGTGATTGAAACTTCTCCAAAATGGAAATAATTTTTTTGGCTGGGTATATTTATATGTGGACCATCAATCAGAAACACCAATTTTGAGTTTCTTGATGCTTGCTTGACTTTATAACATAGGAATTTTAAGTTCACGTCTCATCTCAACAACCCAATAATCTAGGAATTATTTCTAGTTTACTTATGAGAAAACAGAGTGCAAAGAGAATAAGTAATTTATCCAAGGTCATATAGACCATAAGCGGTAAAGACATGATTTAAATCCATATCTATCTGGCCATAAAGCCCGTGTTCTCTTCCATTACATCAGCCTGCGCCCCTAAGTGAATGGGAATAGTGGAAATCAAGGTGAAGGCAGCAGAAGCATCTGTGTTCTTATCCTGCTAATGCAACTATCAAGATACGAGACACGGGACAGTCCTTCAATTTCTGTTAAGAGGGCTCAGCATCTGAAAGGTTCTCTTTCTTCAGCCTGAGAGCTCCTCCTCTTTATTTCCTTTTATTTTTAACTTCACGTATGCTTGCATTGGAAGAAAGGATTCTACAACTAAAACAATGTTAAAAAACTACAAGACTAGATTTCTAAGATGGTCTCCAAGGTCCATCCCATCACCATGATTTGAAGGTTATAAATGTCAGAATTGGCTCTGAGGCTCCTGATAAAGAAATGCAGATGCTGGAAGGTGACCCTCCTCTTTCTCATCTCTAAGCTTTTATGACCATCATAACAGACAGGGGAGGAAACTTCCCGGGTTGTTCCGCTTGGGTGTGGCAGGATTTGGCACCACTCTGATATGTCGGTAGAAGATGACAGAAGGAGATGTTTCTTGTGTGGAAATGGACTCGCAACAAGACAATAATATAGAATCCGGTGGAATTCCCTTTAGTTGAGGACACAGGCGATTCGGGAATAGAATATGTCCCATTTTATTCATACTTTTCCCCCTTTAGAGTCCTGACACTTACAATACAGCCTTTAGACCAGCCACACGAACATTTCCAGGGAGCTTGTTAGACGTGGAAAATCTTGGGTGTACACTAGGTCTATGGAGTCAAAATGTTCATATTAAAAAGCCTCACGTGAAATTTGTATACACATTAAAGTCTGAGATGTCCCGCATTTGAGTAATACTGAAAAATACTGATGTGGGAACAGAAGGCTGTGATAGAGCAAGAGTGGTAGATTTGTCTTGAATATTAGATTGTCCAAAAACCAAGTGAAAATGCATTGTAAAGCTTAGCAAGAACAAGAAAAGATCATGCCTTGGCGTGAAATTCCCCCCTTCCCTCCTCTACTTCCCATTTTCCATAGTCCCAACTAATAGGCAGATACTTGTTGGGATGCCCAACTTGGTTGTCATCATATGGAACTCTGTGTTAGGATACAAGGGGCAGACCGATGAGGATGCAGAGAAATTTGGGACTGGCTGGGAGAGGGAGACAAGGAATCACTCTGGCTGTCAGTCACTTCTCAGTGCTTGAACAATAAACCTGGGTAGAAAGGCCCTTTGTTAGTTTGAAATAGCTGGCATGGGGCTGCTGGGCTGAACTTTCATGAAGACCAAAGAACCTCAGTGCTTGCAGCTGAACAGGACTACAGATGGCAGGAACTGGCAGTAGTCTATGGTGAACACTAGTCAAGAGCTTAAGTTGCTGTTTTAGTAAGAGTAAGTCATAATAGTGGCCATAACAGACACCATACCAGGTTGGGACTTTTCAAGGAGATTGAGTATGTAAATGGTAAGAGGAAGGAAGGAAGGAAAGAAGGAAAGGAGGGAGGGAGCTAGGAAGGGAGGGAGGAAGAAAAAAAGAGAGGAAGGGAGGGAGGAAGGGGGAAAATATAGTTCCAATAACCTTGTGGAAACAACTCACTTCCAGGAAGAATCCCATTGTTGGATCTGGCTGGCTCTGTCTTGCTTCCTTGTTTTGCTTCCTGGTTGTCAAGTGTGGTTTTGGTCGTGTGATTGCTGTCTACTTGTCTGTCCATCCCTTCCTCTGATCCTTCCCAGTCTAGTCTGCTTGCTCTCGTAAGAAGCACCAGATGGGGTAGGGCATGTTGGCTCATGCCTGTAATCCCAGCACTTTGGGAGGCCATGGGGGATGGATCACCTGAGATCAGGAGTTTTCAAGACCAGCCTGGCCAACAAGGTGAAACCCCGTCTCTGCTAAAGATGCAAAAATTAGCTGGGTGTGGTGGTGCATGCCTATAATCCCAGCTACTCAGGAGGCTGAGGCAGGAGAATCACTTGAACATGGGAGCGGAGGTTGCAGTGAGCCAAGATCGTGCCACTGTACTCCAGCGTGGGCGACAGAGTGAGACTGTGTCTCAAAAAAAAAAAAAAAAAAAAGCACCAGATGTCACTTCTTCCTCAGCTCTGTCTTTTCTATTGCTCCTTGATTCACCCTGAGCTTCTCACTTTTACACCATGCCCAGTGCACTAGCAGAAGGAAGGAAACTAGTCCTCACTGAGTGCCCCATCATGTGCTTGGGATTACAAAACTGGCAGAGTAGTACAATAAAATCTTTGAAGTGGGTGTTAGTAACCCCAACATTAAGATGAAAAATAGAACAAAAAACCTCTCATGCTGAGAGAGGTTAAATAATTTTTCTAAGGCCACACTTCTAGTGAGTACTGGAATTAACATTTGAGCCAAATGTCTGACTCCAGAGCCGGGACTTTCTCTCCCAGGTCAGATTGGCCTGCCACAAACCCTCGTTATTCCATCACTTTAGTCCCAGGATGTCTGTCTCCACTGGGGACACCTTTGAAGTTCAGCCCCAGTAGCCAGCCTTCTCAGCCTGCAACAAGAGGTGACACCAGTCTGGTGATGGCAGAGTCTGGCCTCCACAGGGAAGAAATTGTGAGCCTCCTTGAGACTGAGATAAGAGGAGATCGAAAATCAGCAACAGGAGCTAGAATGAGGAAGGCAGAGGCTATGTCCTTTGCTTCTTCTAATCCCCACATGATTTGTGCATGGGAAACAATAAATCTTTGTCCAATGCATGAAAACCCTAATTGCTGAGGTAATAGCTGTGAGGCTGACCAAAGGTGAATATGGGGATTTTCCTAATTTTTTTTCCAATGTCTTTCCCTGAAGCGGTGGCAATGGGGGAACACAGAAACTCACGACAAGACCACTGCTCTTAGGAAGCAGTGTGCGGCGAGACCCCTTGTGTGCTCTGTAGATACACAGAGAAGCTCGTGGGGAGAGAAAGGCACATGGGTTTGGAGAAAGGCAGGTTTGAATCCCAGCTTGAGTACTCACTGAGAGTCTGACTTTAGGTAAGTCATGGCATAGATCTGAGCCTCAGTTCCCTCATCTTTAAATTTTGATTAAGTAGCAGCTGTGTTTCAAAGGCTGTTGCATGAGGCATATACGCATGTGCACACATGCGCTGGCAAAGAGCAAGCCCTCAATAAATTGTAGCTATTATGTTTTTTCCAAGCAGATGTAGTCCCTGCCCTGTAGAAATGTGTGCTTTGAACCAGCTAATATTTACTCTGATTCCTTTTTGAAATGATAAATGGCAGAGATTGGGCAAGGTCAGCTTTATGTGCAGTAGGAGCTAGTGTGATCTAAGGCTTTGCTACTCAAAGCTTTCAGTAGCATGGACCAGGGCATCAGCATCCCCTGATGTAAGAAATCAGACTCTCGGGCCCTACCCAAGATTTCTGAACCAGAATCTGCATTTTAACAAGATCTCCAGGTAATTTGTATACACCATAAAGACACAGGCAGAATCTTCAGAGCTTAGACCCACATCCTCAGACTGCAAAGAGGATACTTTTTAATTCACAGCTCAATGAGGAAATGCTGATATTTTAATAATTTTCTCTTTTGGGTGGATATGTTTGCCATAAGGTGGGCTGAGAAGCATCAGCGGGTTCTATTCCATCATCTGAAAGAAGTCTCTGCTGTGTGTGCAATGCTTATTATGGGTATGATAGAGATATGGGAATAGAAGTTTCCCACTGGGATCTACTTTTGATCTCACTCTAACTGATTGCTTTTGGTAGCCTGCTCCTGGGGTGTGTGGACAGTGCCGCTGAGTCAGAGTGGGCTGGGAGTGGAGAAGAGCCTGTGTCTGCTGGTGGTGGCATCTGCAGTTGCAACCCATGGCCTCCACGGAGCACAGTGCAATGGTTGCCATGGTAACTGCTGTGCTTGGTCAGAGGTGACTAGCTGAGCTGCAGGAACTGGACCAATGGTCCCTCCCCAGTGCCGTCCTGTCGCTGACGCAGTGGTACAAGTGTGGCTTGGCCCCATCCTCATGAGAATTTGAGTGAGAGGCAGAAGTGAGCTTTCTTGCTTCTTGTATTGCTGTATGCCCTTCACTCTGGGGAAAACTAAGGAATCTAAGAAAAATGAAAGGAAATTAATAGGAAATTGGAAGTGTTCTGTGCTGAGTATGATGAACTTGAAGCACATCATGTGCATAAAACTAAAGGCACAAAGGGAAGAACATTCTCCAATTCTTGGTTTGGAACTAATCAAGATGAAAGCTCAGAGGGAGCTAAGAGATTGCCTCCTCCAAGTATCTTATTTTACAGATGACAAGTCTGAAACCCAGAAAGTTTTAGTGACTTGCTCAAGATCACACTGCCATGAGTAAATAAAACTCAGTTTATGATCTCTAGGCGTGTATGGCTTATGGAAGCTTAAGAGAAGACGTGATTCTAGAGCTCAGGGTTTCTTATTCTTAATGCAGTGCTCTTTCTCCCAGAATGCATCACCTCTTTGGCTTATTATTCATGTTCTTTGAAGTCTCAGTTTCTTTCCGGCAGGAGAGAAAAATGCCACCTGTCCTGTGCTTGCTGGCATTGTGGTCCAGAGGAAGAATGTGGACTTTGGTATCAGATTGACCTGGATTCCAGTTCTTGGTCTGATACCTACTAACAGTGGCTTTGGGTGAAGTTATTTTCCTTTTTTGAGTCTATGTCTGTGAAATGGAAATAATAAAAATATTAATAGTAATAACAATAATACCTACCTCATAGAGTTATGGTGATTGTGTATGTAATGTGTCTGGCGTAGTTGGTGTTCAATAAATGTCAGTTTTTGTTCCTGCCTTAACCTGGGAGTGGAAGAGCTTCTATTTCATGTACTGGACCTAATTAATATGGAAATTTGTAATATTGAATGAAGTGCATATTAAATACATGTTATTAGTGTGCAATTTCAGACAACAGTGACATGATGAAGTGAGAGGCAAAAAGCAAATGGGTTGTAACCTCTAAACCTCCAGCAGTCTGTGCATCCTGTGTGACAATAGCTAGTACTTGAAACCACAATGATAAAGCTGTACAAAAATGTACCAACAGCTTTGAGAGGTGTGAATAGAGTGTATTGAATTTGAGTCAAAGAGAATTATTCTACCATTATATAAAAGGACTAGCAGAGTCTCATTTAGAATTCATTTTCAATTCTTATCTTTTTGGTATAAAAAGAGTATTGTAGCAATGGGGAAAGTAAAGCGAAAGCAATGAGAATGATTCAGGGACTCAGGAAACTTGGTGATGTGGAAAAGCCAAGGATTTAGGCTTGTGTTGACTGAAAAAGAGAACATAAGGTGATGTTGTAGAGGCACAGGCAACCCTTTGGAGAATAGAAAGAATCGCTACTACATTTGTGCTTATGAGAGAAGGGATGTTGCAGGGGCAGATTACTAAGTTTTATGCAACTTAGAAGCAAATTTTCAAATATTCTATGGGTTTGTATACTTAGTATATTAGTTTCTTAGGGCTGCCACAACTTAAGGTGCTACAAACTGGGTAGCTTGAAACAAAAGCAATTTATTCTCTCATTGTTCTGGAGGCTAGAAGTCTGAATCAAGGTGTTGCTGGGGCCATAGTCTCTCTGAAGGCACTTGGGTAGACTCCTTCCTCACCTCTTTGCAAATTCTGGTGGCTGCTGGCAGTCTTTGGTGTTCCTTGGCTTACAGTTGCATCACTCTAGACTATGCCTCCATCTCCACATGACCTTCTTTCCTGTGTCTGTCTCTGTGTTTCTCCTCATTTCTTGTAAGGACAGCAGTAATATTGGATTACGGGCCCACCCTGCTGTAGTGTGACCTCATCTTAACTGATTACATTTGCAATAACCCTATTTCCAAATAATATCAGATCCCAAGCTTCTAGAGGTTATAATTAGAAAATATATTTTCGGGAGACACAATTCAACTCACAGCACATAGAAATAATTCATAGAGCTGCCCACTGAAAATTACCCTCTGTTGCCAGGGAGGTAGCCCTGGAGGTTTCTCGACAAAGGAATTTTTTTTTTTTTTTTGGAGACGTCGTCTCGCTCAGTCGCCCAGGCTGGAATGCAGTGGTGCAGTCTCGGCTCACTGCAAGCTCTGCCTCCCGGGTTCACGCCATTCTCCTGCCTCAGCCTCCCGAGTAGCTGGGACTACAGGCGCCCGCCACTATGCCCAGCTAATATTTTTTTGTATTTTTAGTAGAGACGGGGTTTCACCGTGTTAGCCAGGATGGTCTCGATCTCCTGACCTTGTGATCAGCCCGTCTCGGCCTCCCAAAGTGCTGGGATTACAGGCGTGAGCCACTGCGCCCGGCCAAAGGAATTTTTTTAGAACCTTATTTATTTATTTATTTATTTATTTTGTTGAGAAACGAAAAGCTTTCCAAAGAAAATCAGGAACAGTGCAAGAATGTCCCCCATCGTGATTCCTTTTCAAATGTAAGTTCTAGCTAATGCAGTAAGACAGTAAAAGGAAATGAAAGGCACACAAATTGGGAAGGAGAAATCAAACTGTCTTTGTTCACAGATAACATAATCTTCTATGTAAAAAAATCCAAAATAATTCACAAAAACACTCCTGGAACTAATAAGTGATTATAGGAAAGTCATAGGATCAAGGCTAGTACATGAAAGTCAATCACCTTCCTATATACCAGCAAAAAACAAATGGAATTTCAAATTTAAAACACAGTACCATTTACATTACCACCCCAGAAAAGGAAACACATATATATTTAACAAAATGTGTACATGATCTAAATGAGGAAAACTACAAAACTCTGATTAAAAAAAACAAAGAAGAACTAAATTAATGGAGGAGATATTACATGTTCAAGGGTAGGGAGACTCAATAGTATCAAGATGTCAGTTCTTCCCAACTTGATATATAGATTCAAGACGATCTCAATCAAAATCCCAGTAAGATATTTTATAGATATTGACAAACTAATTCTGATGACAAACTAATTCTTACATGGAGAGCAAAAGGCCCAGAATAGCCAACTCAATACTAAAATAGAAGAACAAAGTTGAAGGACTGTCACTACCTGACTTCAAGACCTACTCTAAATTTATGGTCAAGACAGTGTAGACTTCCTGTTTTAAAATGGTAGCATAGAAGCATATTAGCTTTAGTCCCCACCACAGAAAACCTAAAACAAATATATAGCAGTGAGATTATCACTAGCGACATCTCGGAACTGAAATACGAAGAGAGAACTGTCCCTAGGGCCACAGAGAAGTGAAGAAATTCTGAGCAGACAGTAAGAAAATTGGATGTTCACAGACAAAATACCCCTCCCCTACTATGCCTGGCACCCAGCACATGAAACATTTTCCAATTATACATTGTTTCTACACTGGAAAAAGTGAGATCAAGGTGGACAACAAGCTTCTCCACCAACTTGGGTTCCCTGGCAGAAGATCTATCCCTGCTTCAAACCATGGGAAGCATCAGGAGTGACTGAAGGGAGAAATATCCCTGAGGATAGTCAGAGAAAAAAGCAGGGGATGGTATTGCTATCCCCAGCCCTGTAAAGTGGCCAACAGAGATGCCGAATCAGATGCCAGGGGACCTGTGGGACAAACCTCCCCCAGCATGGGAACTATGGGAACCATGCTGGAGGAGGTTTGTCCCACATGTCCCCTAGGCACAAAACTCTAGCCAGCCTTTCCACATTACCAGGATATCCTCTTTGAGACCTCCCCTTTCAGGGCAGGCAATACTCTGTTTACTAGAACCAAGGCAAACTTGAGCTTAAGGTGGCATCTAGTGCTGAAAAGGAGGCAACAATCTAGTGGGGGAAAAACCAACAAAAGAGAAAATCAACAGGTAAATTACAAAGAATCCCTAAGCAAACACATCAAATAAAATCCAAAATGATCCAGACAGAGAAAATTGGAATAAATAGCCAATTCTTCAATGCAAAGATATAGACATACATTCAGAAGAAACAGCAGCACACAGGGAACCATGACCTCCCCAAAGGGACAAAGCAAGGAACCAGTGACTGACCCTAATGAGATAGCAATATGTGAACTCTCTGATCAAGGATTAAAAATAGTAGTTTTAAGGAAACTCAGTAATTTCCAGTGTAATACAGAAAATCAATTAAACATTTTATCAGAGAAATTTAATGAAGAGATTGAAATAAAAACAGAAATCTTAGATCTGAGGAATACATTTACTAAATTGAAAAATTCTTTAGAGGCTTTCAATATGCTCAATAGTAGAATGGATCAGGCAGAGGAAAGAATTAGTTCAAAGACAGATTACTTCAAAATAGACAATAGAGGAGAAAAGAAAAAAGAATGAAAAAGAATGAGGATTGCCTAAAAGATATATAAAATTACCTCAAAAGACCAAATCTAAGAATTGTTGGTGTTTGAGAGGGGATGAGTAAAAGAAAGAATTATAAAGCTTATTCAAAAATATAAGAACAAAAAATACCCAAATTTGAGAAAGAGAAATATCCAGGTATGGGAAGATCAGAGAACACCAAACAGATTCAACATAAATAAGACTACCCCAAAGCATATAGTAACCCGGTTCTCAAAGCTGAGAGACAAAGAAAAGATCCTAAAAGCAACAAGAAAAAAGAATCACATATAAAGAAGTTCCAATTCATCTGGTGACAGATTTCCCAATGGAAATTATACAGGCCAGGAGGGAGTGGGATGACATTTTTAAAATGCGAAAAGAAAAATCTGTATCCAGGAATATTGTATACAGCAAAGATATCCTTCAAATATGAAGGAGAAAGTCTTTCCCAGACAAACTAAAGCTCAGATAATTTACTACTATCAGACTCACCTTATAAGAAATGCTAAAAGGAGTTTCTCATTATGAAAAAAACCCACTAATGTGCAAAAAGAAAACATTTGGAAGTATAAAACCCACTGGCAAAATTAAGTACATGGAAAAACTGAGAATACTCTAATACTGTAATCATGGTGTGCAATCCACTCAACTGTATTATGAAGCCCCAAAGGCAAGTCTGTCAAAAACAATAATAGCTACAGCAATGTGTTAAGAAATAGGCAATATAAAATATACAAATTGAGGCAACATAAAGTCAAAATGTGGAGAGAGGGAGTTAAAGTGTTGAGAGGTCTGTTTTTAAATTTTTCTTTTTTTCTATTCTTTTTTTTGTGGTCTAAGATAAGTTGTCGGGAGGAGGAGCCAAGATGGCCGAATAGGAACAGCTCCGGTCTACAGCTCCCAGCGTGAGCGACACAGAAGACGGGTGATTTCTGCATTTCCATCTGAGGTACCGGGTGCATCTCACTAGGGAGTGCCAGACAGTGGGCGCAGGCCAGTGGGTGTGCGCACCGTGCGCGAGCCGAAGCAGGGCGAGGCATTGCCTCACCTGGAAAGCGCAAGGGGTCAGGGAGTTCCCTTTCCGAGTCAAAGAAAGGGGTGACGGACGCACCTGGAAAATCGGGTCACTCCCACCCGAAGATTGCGCTTTTCAGACCGGCTTAAGAAACGGCGCACCACGAGACTATATCCCACACCTGGCTCAGAGGGTCCTACGCCCACGGAATCTCGCTGATTGCTAGCACAGCAGTCTGAGATCAAACTGCAAGGCGGCAGCGAGGCTGGGGGAGGGGCGCCCGCCATTGCCCAGGCTTGCTTAGGTAAACAAAGCAGCCGGGAAGCTCGAACTGGGTGGAGCCCACCACAGCTCAAGGAGGCCTGCCTACCTCTGTAGGCTCCACCTCTGGGGGCAGGGCACAGACAAACAAAAAGACAGCAGTAACCTCTGCAGACTTAAGTGTCCCTGTCTGACAGCTTTGAAGAGGGCAGTGGTTCTCCCAGCACGCAGCTGGAGATCTGAGAACGGGCAGACTGCCTCCTCAAGTGGGTCCCTGACCCCTGACCCCTGAGCAGCCTAACTGGGAGGCACCCCCCAGCAGGGGCACACTGACACCTCACACGGCAGGGTATTCCAACAGACCTGCAGCTGAGGGTCCTGTCTGTTAGAAGGAAAACTAACAAACAGAAAGGACATCTACACCGAAAACCCATCTGTACATCACCATCATCAAAGACCAAAAGTAGATAAAACCACAAAGATGGGGAAAAAACAGAACAGAAAAACTGGAAACTCTAAAACACAGAGCGCCTCTCCTCCTCCAAAGGAACGCAGTTCCTCACCAGCAACGGAACAAAGCTGGATGGAGAATGATTTTGACGAGCTGAGAGAAGAAGGCTTCAGACGATCAAATTACTCTGAGCTACGGGAGGACATTCAAACCAAAGGCAAAGAAGTTGAAAACTTTGAAAAAAATTTAGAAGAATGTATAACTAGAATAACCAATACAGAGAAGTGCTTAAAGGAGCTGATGGAGCTGAAAACCAAGGCTCGAGAACTACGTGAAGAATACAGAAGCCTCAGGAGCCGATGCGATCAACTGGAAGAAAGGGTATCAGCAATGGAAGATGAAATGAATGAAATGAAGCGAGAAGGGAAGGTTAGAGAAAAAAGAATAAAAAGAAATGAGCAAAGCCTCCAAGAAATATGGGACTATGTGAAAAGACCAAATCTGCGTCTGATGGGTGTACCTGAAAGTGATGTGGAGAATGGAACCAAGTTGGAAAACACTCTGCAGGATATTATCCAGGAGAACTTCCCCAATCTAGCAAGGCAGGCCAACGTTCAGATTCAGGAAATACAGAGAACGCCACAAAGATACTCCTCGAGAAGAGCAACTCCAAGACACATAATTGTCAGATTCACCAAAGTTGAAATGAAGGAAAAAATGTTAAGGGCAGCCAGAGAGAAAGGTCGGGTTACCCTCAAAGGAAAGCCCATCAGACTAACAGCGGATCTCTCGGCAGAAACCCTACAAGCCAGAAGAGAGTGGGGGCCAATATTCAACATTCTTAAAGAAAAGAATTTTCAACCCAGAATTTCATATCCAGCCAAACTAAGCTTCATAAGTGAAGGAGAAATAAAATACTTTAGAGACAAGCAAATGCTGAGAGATTTTGTCACCACCAGGCCTGCCCTAAAAGAGCTCCTGAAGGAAGCGCTAAACATGGAAAGGAACAACCGGTACCAGCCGCTGCAAAATCATGCCAAAATGTAAAGACCATCGAGACTAGGAAGAAACTGCATCAACTAACGAGCAAAATCACCAGCTAACATCATAATGACAGGATCAAATTCACACATAACAATATTAACTTTAAATATAAATGGACTAAATGCTCCAATTAAAAGACACAGACTGGCAAGTTGGATAAAGAGTCAAGACCCATCAGTGTGCTGTATTCAGGAAACCCATCTCATGTGCAGAGACACACATAGGCTCAAAATAAAAGGATGGAGGAAGATCTACCAAGCCAATGGAAAACAAAAAAAGGCAGGGGTTGCAATCCTAGTCTCTGATAAAACAGACTTTAAACCAACAAAGATCAAAAGAGACAAAGAAGGCCATTACATAATGGTAAAGGGATCAATTCAACAAGAGGAGCTAACTATCCTAAATATATATGCACCCAATACAGCAGCACCCAGATTCATAAAGCAAGTCCTGAGTGACCTACGAAGAGACTTAGACTCCCACACATTAATAATGGGAGACTTTAACACCCCACTGTCAACATTAGACAGATCAACGAGACAGAAAGTCAACAAGGATACCCAGGAATCGAACTCAGCTCTGCACCAAGCGGACCTAATAGACATCTACAGAACTCTCCACCCCAAATCAACAGAATATACATTTTTTTCAGCACCACACCACACCTATTCCAAAATTGACCACATAGTTGGAAGTAAAGCTCTCCTCAGCAAATGTAAAAGAACAGAAATTATAACAAACTATCTCTCAGACCACAGTGCAATCAAACTAGAACTCAGGATTAAGAATCTCACTCAAAGCCACTCAACTACATGGAAACTGAACAACCTGCTCCTGAATGACTACTGGGTACATAACGAAATGAAGGCAGAAATAAAGATGTTCTTTGAAACCAACGAGAACAAAGACACCACATACCAGAATCTCTGGGACGCATTCAAAGCAGTGTGTAGAGGGAAATTTATAGCACTAAATGCCTATAAGAGAAAGCAGGAAAGATCCAAAATTGACACCCTAACATCACAATTAAAAGAACTAGAAAAGCAAGAGCAAACACATTCAAAAGCTAGCAGAAGGCAAGAAATAACTAAAATCAGAGCAGAACTGAAGGAAATAGAGACACAAAAAACCCTTCAAAGAATCAATGAATCCAGGAGCTGGTTTTTTGAAAGGATCAACAAAATTGATAGACCGCTAGCAAGACTAATAAAGAAAAAAAGAGAGAAGAATCAAATAGACACAATAAAAAATGATAAAGGGGATATCACCACTGATCCCACAGAAATACAAACTACCATCAGAGAATACTACAAACACCTCTACGCAAATAAACTAGAAAATCTAGAAGAAATGGATACATTCCTCGACACATACACTCTCCCAAGACTAAACCAGGAAGAAGTTGAATCTCTTAATAGACCAATAACAGGAGCTGAAATTGGGGCAATAATCAATAGTTTACCAACCAAAAAGAGTCCAGGACCAGATGGATTCACAGCCGAATTCTACCAGAGGTACAAGGAGGAACTGGTACCATTCCTTCTGAAACTATTCCAATCAATAGAAAAAGAGGGAATCCTCCCTAACTCATTTTATGAGGCCAGCATCATTCTGATACCAAAGCCGGGCAGAGACACAACCAAAAAAGAGAATTTTAGACCGATATCCTTGATGAACATTGATGCAAAAATCCTCAATAAAATACTGGCAAACCGAATCCAGCAGCACATCAAAAAGCTTATCCACCATGATCAAGTGGGCTTCATCCCTGGGATGCAAGGCTGGTTCAATATACGCAAATCAATAAATGTAATCCAGCATATAAACAGAGCCAAAGACAAAAACCACATGATTATCTCAATAGATGCAGAAAAAGCCTTTGACAAAATTCAACAACCCTTCATGCTAAAAACTCTCAATAAATTAGGTATTGATGGGACGTATTTCAAAATAATAAGAGCTATCTATGACAAACCCACAGCCAATATCATACTGAATGGGCAAAAACTGGAAGCATTCCCTTTGAAAACTGGCACAAGACAGGGATGCCCTCTCTCACCGCTCCTATTCAACATAGTGTTGGAAGTTCTGGCCAGGGCAATCAGGCAGGAGAAGGAAATAAAGGGTATTCAATTAGGAAAAGAGGAAGTCAAATTGTCCCTGTTTGCAGACGACATAATTGTTTATCTAGAAAACCCCATCGTCTCAGCCCAAAATCTCCTTAAGCTGATAAGCAACTTCAGCAAAGTCTCAGGATACAAAATCAATGTACAAAAATCACAAGCATTCTTATAAACCAACAACAGACAAACAGAGAGCCAAATCATGAGTGAACTCCCATTCACAATTGCTTCAAAGAGAATAAAATACCTAGGAATCCAACTTACAAGGGATGTGAAGGACCTCTTCAAGGAGAACTACAAACCACTGCTCAAGGAAATAAAAGAGGACACAAACAAATGGAAGAACATTCCATGCTCATGGGTAGGAAGAATCAATATCGTGAAAATGGCCATACTGCCCAAGGTAATTTACAGATTCAATGCCATCCCCATCAAGCTACCAATGACTTTCTTCACAGAATTGGAAAAAACTACTTTAAAGTTCATATGGAACCAAAAAGGAGCCCGCATCGCCAAGTCAATCCTAAGCCAAAAGAACAAAGCTGGAGGCATCATGCTACCTGACTTCAAACTATACTACAAGGCTACAGTAACCAAAACAGCATGGTACTGGTACCAAAACAGAGTTATAGATCAATGGAACAGAACAGAGCCCTCAGAAATAATGCCGCATATCTACAACTATCTGATCTTTGACAAACCTGAGAAAAACAAGCAATGGGGAAAGGATTCCCTATTTAATAAATGGTGCTGGGAAAACTGGCTAGCCATATGTAGAAAGCTGAAACTGGATCCCTTCCTTACACCTTATACAAAAATCAATTCAAGATGGATTAAAGATTTAAACGTTAGACCTAAAACCATAAAAACCCTAGAAGAAAACCTAGGCATTACCATTCAGGACATAGGCGTGGGCAAGGACTTCATGTCCAAAACACCAAAAGCAATGGCAGCAAAAGTCAAAATTGACAAATGGGATCTAATTAAACTAAAGAGCTTCTGCACAGCAAAAGAAACTACCATCAGAGTGAACAGGCAACCTACAACATGGGAGAAAATTTTTGCAACCTACTCATCTGACAAAGGGCTAATATCCAGAATCTACAATGAACTCAAACACATTTACAAGAAAAAAACAAACAACCCCATCAAAAAGTGGGCGAAGGACATGAACAGACACTTCTCAAAAGAAGACATTTATGCAGCCAAAAAACACATGAAGAAATGCTCATCATCACTGGCCATCAGAGAAATGCAAATCAAAACCACTATGAGATATCATCTCACACCAGTTAGAATGGCAATCATTAAAAAGTCAGGAAACAACAGGTGCTGGAGAGGATGTGGAGAAATAGGAACACTTTTACACTGTTGGTGGGACTGTAAACTAGTTCAACCATTGTGGAAGTCAGTGTGGCGATTCCTCAGGGATCTAGAACTAGAAATACCATTTGACCCAGCCATCCCATTACTGGGTATATACCCAAAGGACTATAAATCATGCTGCTATAAAGACACATGCACACGTATGTTTATTGCGGCACTATTCACAATAGCAAAGACTTGGAACCAACCCAAATGTCCAACAATGATAGACTGGATTAAGAAAATGTGGCACATATACACCATGGAATACTATGCAGCCATAAAAAATGATGAGTTCATGTCCTTTGTAGGGACATGGATGAAATTGGAAACCATCATTCTCAGTAAACTATCGCAAGAACAAAAAACCAAACACCGCATATTCTCACTCATAGGTGGGAATTGAACAATGAGATCACATGGACACAGGAAGGGGAATATCACACTCTGGGGACTGTGGTGGGGTCGGGGGAGGGGGGAGGGATAGCATTGGGAGATATACCTAATGCTAGATGACATGTTAGTGGGTGCAGCTCACCAGCATGGCACATGTATACATATGTAACTAACCTGCACAATGTGCACATGTACCCTAAAACTTAGAGTATAATAAAAAAAAAAATTAAAAAAAAAAAGATGTCATCTCTTTAAAATAACTTGTTATATGTATAGGATATTTTTGTGAGCTTCATGATAACCACAATGCAAAAACCTATAACAAATTTAGTAAAAATAAAAAGCAACAAGTTAAAGCATACTACTACAGTAAATCACTTAAGCACAAAAAAGACAACAAGAAAGGAAGATAAGAGTCACAAAACAACCAGAAAACCAGCAACAAAAAGCAACAGTAAGTCCTTCCTTATCAATAATAACACTGAATGTAAACGGACTCAATTCTTCAGTTAAAAGGCATAGAGTGGCTGAATAAATAAAAAATAAGACCCAACTATATGCTGTCTACAAGAAACCCACTTCATCTGTAAAGACACGTAGACTGAAAGTGATGGGGTTAAAAGAGATATTCCATAGAAGTAGAAACTAAAAAAAGAGCAGGAGTAGCTATATTTACATCAGGTAAAATAGACTGCAAATGAGACATGTAATGAAGAGACAAAGGAGGTCACTATGTAAGGACAAAGTGGTCAGTTCAGCAAGAGGATATAACTATTATAAGTATATATGTACTCAACACCAGAGCTTCCAAGTATGTAGAGGAAACATTAATAGATCTAAAGGGAAAGATAGACTGCAATACAATAATAGTAAGGGACTTCAACACCCTACTCTCAGTAATGGAAAGATCACCTAGAGAGAAAATCAATAGTGAAACATTGGAATTAAACTATAAATAGGCCTAACTGATATTTACAGAACATATCACCTACATACTGCAGAATACACATTCTTTTCATCAGCACATGCAACGTTTTCAGAATAGACCATATCTTAGGCACAAAACAAATCTCAACAAATTCAAAACAGTAGAAATCATATCAAGTAGCTTTTCTGACCACAATATAATAAAACTAGAAATCAATAAAAAGAGGAACCTCAAAAATATAAAACACATGAAAACTAAACAGCATGCTTCTGAATAACCAATGAATCAATGAAGAAATTAAAAAGGAACTTAAACATTTCTTGAAAGAAATGAAAATGGAAATACAAGTTACCAAAATCTATGCGATACAGCAAAAGTGGTACTACGTGGGAAGTTTATAGCAATAGAAACATATCAAAAAAGTAGAAAGACTTCAAATAAACGAGCTAACAATTCACCTCAAGGAACTAAAAAAGCAAGAACAAAGCAAACCCAAAATTAGTGGAAGAAAAGAAATAATAAAGATGAGAGTAGAAACAAATGAAATTGAGGCTAGAAAACACTACAGAATATCAATGAAATAAAAAGTTTGGTTTTCAAAAAGATAAAATTAACAAAGTCTTCGTTAGACTAAGAATAAGGTAGAGAAGACTCAAATAAATAAAATCGGAAATGAGGAATGAGACATAGTAATTGAGAACACAGAAATAAAAATTAGCGACTATTACAAACAACTATATGCTGACAAATTGAAAGTCCTAGAAAAAATAAATTCCTAGACACATACAGCCTACCAAGATCGAACCATGAAGAAATAGAAAATCTCAACAAACCGATAATGAGCAATGAGATCTAAGCCATAATAAAAAATCTCCCATCAATGAAAAGCCCAGGACCTGATGTCTTCACTTTTGAATTTTACCAAACATTTAAAGCACTCATATCAATTCTATTCGAACTCTTAAAAAAAATGAAGAGGAAAAACACTTCCAAACTCATTTTATAAGGCCAGCATTTCTCTGATACCAAAGTTAGATGAGGAAACAACAACAAAAAAGAAAACCACAGACCAATATCACTGATGAACATAGATGCAAAAATCCTCAAGAAAATACCTGCAAACTGAATTTAACACATTAAAAAGGTCATTCACCATGATCAAATGTGATTCATTCCAGGGATGCAAGTATAGTTCAACATTCACAAATTAATAAATGTGATACATTAACAAAACCAAGAACAAAAACCATAGTATTATTTCAACAGATGCCAAAAAACACTCCCTAAAACAACATGCTTTTATGACAAAAACCTTCAACAAACTGGATATAGAAGGAACATATCTCAAAATAATAAAGGTCATATATGACAAACCCACAGCTAACATTGTACTGAACAGGACAAAATTGAAAGCCTTTTCGCTAAGATCTGGAACAAGATAAAGATGCCTGCTTTCATTACTTTTATTCAACATAATTCTGGAAGTACTAGCAAGAGAAAGAAAGAAAATCTAAATTGGAAATGAAGAAGTTAAATTAGTCTTGTTCACAGGCAACATTGTCTTATACTTAGAAAAAACTAAAGACTTCACCAAAAACGATTGGAACTGATAAATTCAGTAAAGTTGCAGGATACAAAGCCAACATATAAAAATTGGTGTCATTTATCTATGCCAACAGTGAACAATCTGAAAAAAATCAAGAAAGCAATTCCATTTACAGTAGCTACAAAGAATATAAAGTACCAAGGAATCAATTTAAACAAAGAAGTGAAAATTTTGTATAAAGAAAAGTATAAAACACTGATGAAAGAAATTGAAGAGGATACAAAAAAAAGGTATTGCATGCTCATGGGATTGAAATAATTAATGTTGTTAAGATGACAATACTAAAATCAATTTACAGATTCAATGAAATCTCTATCAAAATACAAATGACATTCTTGACAGAAACAGAAAAAACAATTCTAAAATTTGTATGGAACCACAAAGGATCCTAAATAGCCAAAGCAATCTCCAGAAAAAAGAACAAAGCTGGTGGCATCACACTACCTGACTTTAAAATATGCTATAAAGCTATAGTAATAAAATCAACACGGTACTGGCATAAAAATAGACCCATAGGCTAAACTGATGGAACAGAATAGAAAACTCAGACATAAACTCATGCATTTTTAGCCAACTCATTTTTGACAAAGGTGCTAAGAACAGACAATGAGGAAAGGGCAGTCTCTTCAATAAATGGGGCTGGGAAAATTGAATAACCATGTGCAGAAGAATGAAATTAGACCCCTATCTTTCAGCATATATAAAAATTAGGAAAAAATTTAAGACCTGAAACTATGAAACTACTGAAAGAAAATGTTGGGGAAACACTCCAGGACATTGGCCTGGGCAAGGATGTTTTGTGTGAGACCTCAGAAGCACTGGCAATCAAAGCAAAAATAGACAAATGGGATTACATCAAGATAAAAAGCTTCTGCACAGCAAAGAAAACAAACAAGAAAGTGAGATAGCAACCCAAAGAATGGGGGAAAAATATCTGCAAACTATCCATCTGACAAGTGATTAATAACCAGAATATATAAGGAGCTCAAACCGCTCACTAGCAAAAAACCCAAATAAACTAGTTAAAAAATGGGCAAAAGATCTGAAGAAACATTTCTCAAAAGAAGATATATGAATGGCCAACAGGAATATAAAAGAAGCGCTCAACATCACTAATCATCAGAGAAATGCAAAACAAAACCACAATGAGATATCACTTCACCCTAGTTAAAATGACTTTTATGAAAGTGACAGGGAATGATGAATTCTGGTGAAGATATGGAGAAAGGGGAACCCTTGTACAGTGTTGGTGAGAATGTAAGTTAGGATAGCCACTATGTAAAACTGTATAGAGTTTCCTCAGAAAACTAAAAAGAGAACTACTATATAATCCAGCAATTCCACTACTGAGTTATATACTCAAAAGAAATCAATATATTGAAGAGATATCTGTACTCCCATGTTCATTACAGCACTATTCACAGTAGCTAAGGTATGGAATCAACCTAAGTACCCATCAATGGGTGAATGGATAAATATTATGTGGCATATATATACAATGGAATGTTATTCACCCATAAAAAAGAATGAAATCTTATTTGCAGCAGCATGGATGGAACTGTAGGTCATTATGTTAAATGAAATAAGCCAAGCACAGAAAGACAGCTATCACATGTTCTCACTCATACGCAGGAGCTAAGAAGTGGACTTCATAAAGAGAGAGTAATTTGGTGGCTACCAGAGGCTCGGAAGGGTAGGGACATGGGGAGTATGAAGAGAGGTTGATGAATGGTTACAAATATACAGTTTGATAGAAGAAATAAGGCCTAGTGTTAGCAAGATCAGTCGGGTGACTCTAGTTTACAGTGATCTATTGTATATTTCAGAACAGGTAGGAAAGAGTAATTTGAATGTTTCTAGCTTAAAGCAAGATAAATATTTAAGGTGGTGGATATTCCAGTTACATTTATCGACTATTTACAAATTATGATGTTATTATTACATGTACCTTGAAAATATGTACATCTATTATGTATCAATGAAAACATTTTTGAAAAGACAGTGTAGTATTGGTAAAAGAATAGACAGATGCATTAATGAAACAGACTAGAAAGCCTAGAAATAGACATAAATGTAGTCAACTGATCTTTGGAAGCAAAGGCAACAGAATGGAGCGAGATAATCTTTTAAACTAATGGTGTTGAAACAACCTAGACATCCACATGCAAAAAAAGGGAAAGTATCTAGACACAAACATAGACCTCACTCTCATCGCAAAAGTTAACCCAAGTGGATCATAAACCTAAACATGAAATGCAAAACTATGAAACTCCTATAAAGTAACATAGGAGAAAATCGAGGTGACCTTGCATATGGCAATGACTTTTTAGATGCCACACCAAAGGCAGGATCTCTGAGAGAAATCACTGATAGGTTTGACTTCATTAAAAATTTGTGCTCTGTAAAATTTACTGTGAAAAGGCTCAGACAAACCACAGACTGGGAGAAAATATTTGCAAAAGACATGTCTGATAAAGGAGTGTTATCCAAAACATACAGAGAACTCTAAAACTCAGCAATGGGAAAACAAACAACCTGACTGAAAAATGAGTCAAATACTTGAACAGACACCTCACCAAAGAAGATATACAGATGGAAAATAAGCATATGAAAAGATGCTCGACATCATATGTCATTAGAGAATTTCGAATTAAAACAGTGAGAAACCACTGCACACTGATTAAAATGGCCAAAATCCAGAACACTGACAACACCAAATACTGGCAAGGGTGTGGAACAAAAGGAATCCTCATTCATTGCTGGAGGGAATGCAAAATGGTACAGCCACCTGGGAGGACACTTTGGTGGTTTTCTACAAAACTAAACATGGTCTTACCATATGATCTAGCAATTGTGCTTCTTGGTATTTACCCAAATTAGTTGAAAAGTGATAGCCACCCAAAAACCTACACACAGATGACTATAGCAGCTCTTTTTGTAACTGCCAAAACTTGAAAACAACCCAAGATGTCCTTCAGTAGGTGAATGGGTAGATAAACTGTGGTATATGCAGACAATGGAATATTATCTAGTGCTAAAAGGAAATGTGCTATCAAGCCATGAAAAGACATGTAGGAAACTTAAATGCATGTTCCTAAGTGAAAAGAAGCTAATCTGAAAAGACTACACATTGTGTGATTCTAACTATGTGACAATCTAGGAAAGGCAAAAAGAATGAAGACAGGAAAAAGATAAGTCGTTTACAGGGGTTAGTTAGGGGAGAGGGACAGATGAATAGGCAGAGCACAGAGGATTTTTAGGGCAGTGAAACCATCCTGTATGATACTGCAATGTTGGGTACATGTCACTCTATGTTCGACAAAACTCATAGAATGTATAGCGCCAAGAGTGAGCCCTAATGTAAGTTATAGGCTTTGGATGAGAATAATGTATTAATGTAGGTTCATTCATTGTATCAAATGTATCATTCTAGCAGGAGATATTTGATAATAGGGGAGACTGTGTGTGTATATGGGGACAGGGAATATATATGAATTTCTGTACCTTCTGCTCAATTTTGTGTGAACCTAAAATTGCTCTAAAAAATAAAGACTTTAAATTTTTTAAATGTTTAATTTAAAAATTTAGATTTTAAAAATGTTTAATTTAAAAAATTATTGTGGTAAAACCCACAAAATATAAAATATACCATCTCAACCATTTTTAAGTGTACAATACAGTAGTGTGAAGTATATGTAAAACCAGAAGGTTTTTTAGGGCTACGTGGTAGATCATGTTGGAGAAGACTCTGACTGTGTAATGGTGAAGCACCAAAAAGAAGTACAAGAAACCAACAAACTTTAAGTGTACCAGGCAGTGATACCTTATTTTGGGGTGAATATTCTGAAAATTGGAGATTGGGCAAGAAAGCACACTCTTCTGGAGATTAAAAGGGAAAAGCTGGCAAATACAGAAGCTGAAACACATTGAACAGAGAGCAGAGGTGCAGACATTTGGCTGTGGTGCCTTAGTAGCCTCGATGCTGAAAGCAGGGAGGGCTTTTGGAAGTATTCTCTGATGCTCCAGAGGCCTTCCCTCTGAGGTTGGGGCCTCTCCCGTGCCACAGGGACATGCAGGTGTGACACGAAGGAAGGCAGGAGCAGGGAAGGGGACATCCTGACTGGGCTGGGGATGGGAGACAGGGCTGCAGAATTTTCCTTTGGCAAAAGAACTCCTCCTCTCCTCAGCTGGGCTGTCAGGGGAAAGGAAGAGGGCAAAGGAGGGACACCAAGATAGGAACTGCTGCTTGTCTCAACGTTACTCTCCCTTCCACTAAATAAGAAAACCTGGAAGAGAGAGAGAGAGAGAGAAGAGACCGACCATGTCTGTTGACTCCACTGCCTCTGTTCTTTCATGTGTGTTTGATATGGTTATGCTTTGTGTCCCCACCCAAATCTCATCTCGAATTGTAATCCCCAGGCATTGAGGGAGGGACCTGGTGGGAGGTGAGTGGATCATGGCGGGTGGCTCCCCCATGCTGTTCTCATGATAGTGAGTAAGTGCTCATGAGATCTGGTGGTTTTATAAGCGTCTGGTAGTTCCTGTCTTGCTCCCTCTTCTCCCTCCTGCTGCCTTGTGAAGAAAGTCCTTGTTTCCCCTTCACCTTCTGCCATGATTGTAAGTTTCCTGAGGCTTCCCGAGCCATGTGGAACTGTGAGTCAATGAAACCTCTTACCTTTATCAATTACCCAGTCTCAGGAAGGTCTTTATAGCAGTGTGAGAATGGACGACTTTAGTCATCATAGGTGGCTTTTGGGAGGTGACAACGATTACTGCACTGTGCTTTGTGCTGGGATGCAGTGGTGAAGAGCAACCTTTCAGAAGGGCACCACAGGGTCTAGGAGTAACTGCCTGAACGGGAGAGGGCTCAGCATGCTGGGAAAGCCCCAGGAGGGGGGCTGCAGGGACACAGTCTACTCTTAGGGAAGGAGGCACTGTCCATGCTGAGTCCTGTGGCATGAGTGGGATGCCAGTGGAGGGGGAGTGCCAGTGTGCAGCCAGTTGTGAGGAGTAAGGTGTAGGGCAGCAGGAGGCCTGGGCTGCCTCTCAGAAGGGTAGAGCTCCATGCTCTATCTATCTAGAGGGTGATGATGCAAAATGTCCAGGGAATGACTTTGGTTTAGGTGTTTTTTTTTGTTTTTGTTTTTGTTTTTGTTTTTTAAAATAAAAGCGGTTCTAGTATATTATCTAATGGTAGAGAAACTCCTACTGGGGTTCTTGAATTGGGTCTCACATAGAGCTCAAGTTGTAATTGAGAATGCATGAATCTGTCTGAAGGGGAAGAAAGAAAAATCCCCTTAACATCCATAGTACGGAACCCTTCTGGCTTTGAGCCTCATCTGAACTTTTCCAGGTCCCATGTGCCCTGACTTCACTGTGTGTTCTTTGCTTCACTCTGTTATCTGGGTCCAAAGCCAGCCCTGCCTTTCCTGTCACGGGAATCCACTCTTCCTTCACCATTTGAAGAGCTCATAGAAAGAGAGGTGGAATCTTTAATGCCAACGGTTTAAAATTCCTTCACCGAATGAGGTGGGGGTTGCCCAGTCGAGTCTCTCCCTCTCTCCTCCTCTTCCTCCTCCCTGCCTCTCTCTTCCCATCAGTTCTGTGGCACCAGTAGTTTGAGTTCCTGAATGCCCCGCCAATAACACTTCCTTGCACATCTCTCAAAGTTCATGCACAAAGTGTGCTGGCAGCGTCTTTTAAAATCCTAACCAGGAAGGGGTGCCAGGACTGCAAATGAGTCTTTCCTACATGTGGCTGAAGGCTAACCTCGCTTTCAGAGGCAGCCTGAAGCCAAGATAACTCTTGGCTGCCCAGAGCGAGATTTCCCCGTGTGTTGTTGACAGTGAACACATCAGCGCACAGCACTTGCTGACATCGAGGATGCAAATGTAGGAAAAGGAAGACCAGGAGGCTGCTGACTGGGGAGCTCAGAGCAGGCCAGATGATTGTGCAGCCTAGTGAAGTATGTTTACGTGGATAATTAATACTGGAGAAACAGTACGGCCAGAGTCTCCCACGAGAGAACACTGTCAGTTGCCTTATCATTTTTTCTTTTCTAACCAAATTGATGGGCCAGTCGGCTGCCTTTCTGGATCCACATGGATGGCGAAACTGCAAACAAGTTTCATTTAAATAATGGGCAAATCTTCTAATTAGTTAGAGTTTAATCCCCACGCCTTAAAAATGACAAACTGCTCTTACCACTACCTTTGTTTGTTGAAAAGATAAAATGGGGGGTGTGGGAACCAAATAAAAACATTGAAAAAAATTTAGAAGCACAGATTTGATTGTACGTTAATCTAGGAGGAGCTTTACAAGTCAATAATTGTCATAAAGATTCATTGGTCAACATTTAAGGCCTAATTATATATATATATATATATATATATATATATATATAGAGAGAGAGAGAGAGAGAGAGAGAGAGAGAGAGAGAGAGAGATGGTTTTATTCTTAGAGTGTATACATGCGTTTTCTGACTATTGGAATATTTTGATTTCTCTAAAATCAAACAGGAGTTCTCAGGAAAGGAGGAGCTGTGGCTTATATACATAAGTAGGCATTTAGAAATAAGCACATTAAAATGAATGTATCATCTATATGTTTTAGTGTTTCTGCTACTGATGAAATTGAATGAATCCTCTACTGGATAACTATTTTAATCCTTGTTTAGAAATCATTCCTAAATATGGCCGGGCGCAGTGGCTCATGCCTGTAATCCCAGCACTTTGGGAGGCCGAGGCAGGTGGATCATGAGGTCAAGAGATCGAGATCATCCTGGCCAACATGGTGAAACCCCGTCTCTACTAAAAATTCAAAATTAGCCAGACATGGTGACGCATGCCTATAATCCCAGCTACTCGGGAGGCTGAGGCAGGAGAATCACTTGAACCCAGGAGGTGGAGGTTGCAGTGAGCCAAGATGGCACCACTGCACTCCAGGCTGTCCAGGCTGGTGACAGAGAGAGACTTTATCTCAAAATAAATAAATAAATAAATAAAAATAAAATAATTCCTAAATATGTAAGAACAAATCACATTTAGCATGTTCATTCATTATTCTGTCACCTATCCAGCAAGCAATTATTGAACATCTGGTATGTTGCAGGCCCTCTTCAAGAAATTTAGCTAAAAGTAAAAAATGCCTGTCCTCAAGGAGACTTGTGTGCAAATAAGTGATTGTCATATATGAATTGCCTCAAGTCGCTAATATACTGTGTCTTATGTGATCTCCTTAAAGTGCAAATTCCAAGTTAGGAGGTCTGGAGTCATGCTTAAGCTTCCATAGCCCTAGCATGCTTACAAGCAATGCTGGGGCCCATTCTTGGAGGACAAAGTCCCAGCAAAAGTTGCTATAGGAGAAGGGAAAGAAGAAATGTACTTCGGTGGTGGGGGTGGGGCTAGGCCGGGCTGGTACCAGGAAGTGGCTCCTGGAAGAGCGTAGAGGTGGGTGGTGAACAGGAACAAGACTTGTTGGGATTCCTGGGAAGGAGCATGTGTCCACACCTTCCAGCCTCAGTCCTAGGGGTGAAAGAGAGCCCTGTGTTTAGAAAACTGCAGTTATCTTGAGATGGCTAGAGGGTAACTTCCTAGGTTATCAGTTCAACGCACCAATATATTCACTCCCCTCCTCTGTCTGTCTCCCCGACCCAGCCTGCCCACATACATACACTTAGTTTCTTGAGCTAGTTGGAATTGATTTCCAGGCTCCTGAAAAAGTGGGTATATTTGGGAAATCTCGAGCCATGGAGCCAGCAAGCAGTCAGAGGCTACAAAAAGTGTTGTGTTTTCTTTGTGAGAGGACTGAATTTATCTTAACAGTAATAGAAAGCTTTGAAGAATTTTAAGTAGCTGAAACAACTGGTGTTTTGTGTGTGTGCATGCATTTTAACCTTCAACGCCAAATGAGGAAACAGTTCCACTTGTGTTTCCCTTGGATTTGATATTGAAGTTTAATTGATCCATTTAGAGAGAAAGGGTTAACAGAAGAGGACGGGTGATCCTGGCCAAATACAGACCAAACCACACCATACAACTAGGGCCATTGCATCTGTGCTCTTAATCTCATTTTCCTTCTTGTGAAATCTGTTTTGTTTGAAACTTCCATCTGAAAGCCTTCACCTTTGATGCACCTTCATCCAAAGCCTCCATACAGGGTGTCTTGTCTCTGAGCCCTGCTTGTTCCCCCTAGGGTACACTGGGTCAGTGTAAATTTTCCTCAAATACTGTGTTTTTTGAAAAATCCCTTTACTCTCCTGGCCCAATCTCTGAGTGACTTCTTTCTGTTTAATATGCTTAACCCAGCCTCTCAGCCAGGCACTCCAAGTGCTCCCTAAACTTTTCCTCCACTTCCCCTTCTCCAGCATCATCTCTCAATACTCTGGGCCCTTTCCACTCCAACTCAGCTGTTTGACTTCACTGTCCCTTCCCGTGTCTTGCCAGACCCTGCTTTAATTTCCTTCCTTCTCTTCCACTCTCTATTGTAACTTCTGCTGCCAGCAAACATCTATGGAAAGCCTGCCATGTGGTGAGGTGGCCTGCAAGGTATTTTACCTTCATGATCACATTAGTCCTCATGGTCATCCCATGGAGTCAGTACTGTCATGTCACTCATTTTACATCTGGGGCAACTGAGGCATAGAGTGTTTATATTACTTACCCAAAGTCACAAGACTACACATCAAAAGGTGGCAGAATCTGAATTCAAGTTTAGGTCACTGGCTCTCCAGAGCTGGTGTTTCTTAACCACCAACCATTCTCCTCTCTTCTATGTCAGGCTCCGCCTTTGCTTACACAGTAAGTTTTATATGAAAGGTCTTTCTCTTCTTTGTTTAATCTTTGTCCCCTTTGCCCTTCAAAATTTGGCTTCCAAGAAGCTTTCTTACCTAACGACATCCCATTCTGATCCTTCTTACATTCCGTATCCCTCTGCTCTCTCCAGTCTTGTGCCCCAGCCTGCATTGCTCAATCCGTAGCTGTCCCCTGGTTGTTTTATCTGCCATGTCTTATCTTGTCACCTCTACTATGCCTTTGACTGTTTTTATACACACACATTGCTTAGATTGATATGTGTCCAGTACTTGTCAAATAAACACTCTTGACGCTGATACTTCCTCTTATGCATTCATGGTGGGAAGGTTGGGGGAAAGCAAAACCTGTCTATAAAATTCATATATTTCATATATATATATATATATATATATATATGTATATCTCATCCATCTAGATTTGCACTGGGTGGGTTTGTCCTCAAAGTGTGATCCATAGACCCTTGGAGGTCTCCAAGACCACTTAAGGGGGAGGGGTCTGGGGGCAAAACTGTTTTCATAATAACATTAGATGTCATTTGCCCTTTTCATTTTTTTGACATTTCTACTGATGGCGCAAAAGCAGTGATAGGACAGAACTGCAGGAGCCTTTGTATGAATTGGGGAAGTGGCCTCAAGCTGTGGGAGTATGCATGGTATTCACACCACCGAGCACCCACAGTAAAAAAATTTTAAAAAAGACAATGCCAGCTTCACTTAAGTATGTCCCTGATAAAGCAGTGAAATGATTAATTTTATTAAACTTTAGACCTTGAGTACACATATTTTTAATATTATGTGCAAAAAAGTGGGAAGTGCGCATAAAACATTTCTGCCACACCATGCGGTACAGTGGCTGCCTGGATGCAAAGCACTGTGTGATTGAGTTGTGAGCTGAACTAGTTGCTTTTTTCATGAAACACTATTTTTTACTTGAAAATGTCTGACAGACAAACTGGTTATTCAGGCTTGGGTATTGGCAGACATTTTCTTTTAAAAACGAATGAAGGGAGCCTGTCACTTCTAGTAAAACAACTGACAGTATTTGTTGCCAATGATAAAATCTGAGCTTTCAAGTGAAAATTAGAATTTTGGAAAACTTGTGTCTGCCACTACAAGCTTGACAGGTTCTCAATGCTTAAAGGCTTTTTTGGTGAGGTTGGTGGTGGTATTAATGCACATTGGTTTTTTTGATATTATGTAATGTCCACAATTATGTATGTATGTCAACAGTTATGTACATATGTAATGTATGTCAACAATAAAAATATTTGTATAAATTAATGAACAGATATTTTCAAAATATGCATGAGTAAAAGATCCATTCAAAGTACAGAATAGACAGATGGACTTTAAGTAGGAAAAAATTTATCAACATAGCTTCAGATTCCATATCACTACTAACCTTATAAAACCGCCACTTGTTGACTTTTGGCATAGTATCGAAGAACATTCACAATTATCTGAAAAGGCTAAAATATTCTGCCCTTTCCCAATTACACATCTGTGTCAAATTGTATTTTATTCATGTGCATCCATGAAAACGGATATCTCAACAGATCAAATGCAGAAACAGAAATGAGAATTCAGCTGCATTCTAAGCAGATATTAAAGAGATCTGAAAAATTGTTACACAATGAAATTCTTATCACTATTTTCTGTTCTAGAAAATAGCTATTTTTATAAGATTACGTTATTTATGGCAATCTGCAATAGATTATTGTTTTTAAAAAATGAAGTAAAAGTATTTTCAGATTTATTCACTTAAATTTCTAATACGTGAAATATCAGTGGAAATAATCCACATGAACAAAAAGCTCTCTGAAGTCCTCAGTAATTTTTTAAGAGTTTGAAAGGGTCTTGAAACCAAAAATTTTGAGAACCATTGTACACAGATGTGGAGATCGATTTGGGAAAGGATAAATGTTGTTGCTTTCTCTATCTTCCACTTGTGAACAAGTGTCGTCAACTTTACCTAGCTGCTCAAGCCTGAAGCCTAGAAATCATCCATTGTCCTTTCTCTATCCCTCATTCCTCACCATAAATTACCCAGTTCTGTTGGCTCCACTTTCTAAATATAGTTTTAAAAATGCATCCACTTACCCGTTTCTACTTCCACCATCGTGGTCCAGATCACATGAGGAAGGTTGCCGAAGTAGCCTCCAATTTTTTCATGCCTCCCTGTCTCCAAGCCCTAGAATAGTTTTGTCCTATGATGACTCTGAGCTTGGCTATGTGACTTGCTTTGGCCAATGGGCTGATAGCTAGCATGACAAGGAGAGACTTGACAATTGCTAGTTTTGGGGACTTGTTCTCTCTCACTGCTTTTGGAGCCCAGCAACCACCACAATATGAACTGACTTAGATGATAAGAGACATGAGGCTCAGTCTCCCTCATCACTTCCTCAGCTTGGTGACTGGCAGTTGACTATAGATAGATGAGTGAGCCCTGCTGAGATCAGTGGAAGACACACCCAGCTGAACCCAGCCCACATTGTTGACTCCCAGAATTATGAACTAAAATATGATTGTGCTTTAAGCCTGTACATTTTGGAAGTAGTTTGTCAAGAAGCAAGCGCTAATTGATACACCACCGTCATTCCAGGTGTGGATTACTACAGTGCCCTCTTCACTATCTTGCACCTTCCAATTCTCCTTCTCCCTCTTCTGGGTTCTCCTTCATACTGTAGCCCAAACGATCTTTTAAAACATCAGTTCCATCATGTTAACCTCACTAGATAACAGCCTTCAGTGTCCCTGCATTGCATGTAGGGTGAAGGCCAAGCTCCACACCTTGATGTGGCTTACCAGGCACATGCTGGTCTGGTCCCTGACGATCTTTTGGTGAGCTCATCTATTTCATGCTGTCTTGCACTCTGCCATGTGGCCACCTTCTCTCCTTAAGCATGGCCGCTTCTTTCTCACTCAGGAATATGCACTTGCTGTTCTGTTTGCCTGGCTTGCATTCCCTCTGGCGATTTGCCTGGCTGGCTTGTTTTTTTTTTCCAGTCTTCAGGCCAAAATTTCCCCCCTGCTGTGATACCTTCCCTGACCACGTTATCTAAGTACTGTTCCCGCTCTTCCCTTATAAACAGCTCATAGATTCACCTAGTGTTTATCTCCTATTTGTTGACAGTTTGTCTTCTTTGTGCGCTGATAAGTTTCTAGCTCCTAGACCAATGCCTGGCTAATAGTAGAAGTTCAGTAAACACTTAACAGATGAGTAGGGAAAGAGGACTGAATCTCTCAGGGCTGGTCTTACAGGTGGCTACATTAAGGGCATAATTCGAAGAATGCCCCCTGCCTCCAAGTCCCCTTGCCATGCTGACACAATGAAACACAGCGGAATATAGTTTAGTGTTCTCTAAACTTAGCTGAACACAAGAATCACTCATATTCATAGAATACAGAGCTTGGGTCCTATGGAATTAGACTCTCTAGGGGAGGTGTCTGGGAATCTACATTTTAGTCAACACCCCAAGTAATTCTTGTAGTTAGCAGGTAGCAGAGCCACTGCAGAGGTGGGAAGAGCACAGGCTTGGAATCAGACATCGTCAGTTTCAGTTCTGTCCTGGGTCTTACTGGCTGACTCACCTTATTCTCTTCTTCCCTCCTGCCCTGCTCATTCATTCACTCACTCTCTAATTCTTTTATTTAATAAATCTTGTTTGAATACCTACTACGTTTAGATATTTACATATAGCTTTTGGCCATGGGGAGATGGTAATTAGCAAGATCCATAAGGTACCTGCTCCACGGGGGGCTTAGCTAGCAGGGGGACAAATAAATGAACAAAATAATTTCAGATAAGATAAATGCCTCTTATGGGATGAAAGTGAGAAATAAATCAGGGTGATGGGATAGGTACTAGAAGCCTCTTTTAGATTGGGGGGTCAGGAAAGACATCTCTGAGGAGGTAAACTTTGTGTGGAGACCTGGTGAGAAGGATGCAACCTACAGATGATGTTCCTGGCAGAGGGAACAGAGAGTGCAAAGGTGTGAGTCTCAATTTCTTCATCTGTAAAACAGTAGTAACCAAGTCATGTTGTTGGATTATTAAAGGGTGTTAGATGATGAAGTATTCACAGGGTCTGATACTCAGTAGCTACCCAGCAGATATTATTTTTCTTCTTGCCTGGATGGATGTAGAAGATGAGATAATTCACTCCTTTGTTTATTCAACAAATATGTTTGAGAAATTGTGGATGTGAGAGTTTCTCTCCTCAAGTGGCTTATAGTCCAGGAGGTAAACTAAAGCATGCATGTAACATGACGCAAAGCAGAAAGCGGACAGTGATTCTTGTTATTCCCCATTGTCAGAGGAGTGTTGCTGGGACCAAGAGACAGTGAGAAGGAATAAGAGGGATGAAAGATCTGAAGGACCACACAATGTCCACAGTCCAGTAGGATGCTTATTCTGGGGCTGCGGGGAGATGTTGAAAAGGTACCAGAAGGACTAGAGAGACTCAGAGAGGTGATTGGAATGGTCCTGAAAACGACCTTCACCTGCTTCTTAAATGTGCTTTTTGTCTCCTTCCATTTCCTCCATCCCCCAAGGTCCTTAGAATCATCTGCTCAAAGCTCAGGGTTCACATCAGTGACTAACATTCATTAGGGGCCCTCCAGCTTCTGCTCTGTGCTCCTCAGCCATGTGCAGAGCCTGAGTCAGAGCTTGGTGGTGAAAGTGGGGAGGATGCAGGCTCACCGGGCTCATCAGCAAGCAAAGGGGAGAACGTAACATGGGGCAGAGAGAGTCCCCTTTCCTGCCAGGCCCCGGTGATGGGAAGTGCATCATTTATTGAAATTTCTAGCATCGTTCCTAGAACGTGGGTATAATTAACGTTCTCACCTTATAGAGGCAGACACTGAGGTAATAGGTAATGGGGGCCCCACACCTAGGTTTACTAAAGATAGAATTTTAATTTCAGCTTTTGAGTTACTTTTAGGCCCTAAAGCTGAAATTATGTGAAGCCACATTGAATGATGGATTTGACCAAATTAGTTCAACCACTGCTTCACTGGGGCAGGGGAGTAGGTATTCAGCTGAATTGACTGGTAGTTGAGTCAGGAATTTTGGTATTTGTAAGCATTATGACTGAGAATTAGCAGCTTAGTGTGGGTAGACCCTGAACCACGTGCTTTCTTTATGTAACAAAATTTGGTTTTTGTTGCGTGGTCTCTTAGCTGATAGATCACCAGACAAACGGTGGAAAGTGTTTTCTTAAAATGCTGCAGCAGTATAAGAAATTTAATTTCATTAAATATGCTAGGAGTAATAACATTGGAACACATCTCTGGTAGTATCACGAGCATCTTGGGCTCTGGGTCACCAGGGTGGAAGTCATTGAACCTTATGATCTTGTGGCTCCGAACCAATTTCAAAGCTGTGAAAAAAGTTGCTGTTATCCCAAACTCAAAAGACAACTATAGGCACGCCCAGAATTACTAAATTACATGTTTGACTTTGGTCGAAATTACCATTACAGCTTGCATAGCCCTCATCATGACAATAAATAATAATCACACTTGAGCATTATGAAGTATCTCAGCACAATTACACTCCCATTTAATATTTTTCCAAGTGTTTCTTTAATTTCTGTCTCCTTTAATTTACATTAACTGTTTTGTCTCCTTTTCATATGCATGTGTAGGTTCCTAGCTGGTTAAATTCCAGATCACTTTCTACTGCCTAATTGTTCATGACATACTATTTTAATGTTAAGGAGGCTCCCTCTCCATGTAAGTTTCATCAGTTTTTATGGACAATGAAGGCTAGTGTTATATTTGGAAAAGAATGAGCATTACCTCAAATTCAGAGATGAGTCAAAGTAAAAGCAGTTGAACACATCAAAGAAACCTTGATATTCCTAGGAAAAAATGAGCAATATCTTTGAACTTCCCAGAGCCTCCATACGCACAATCTGGCATAACGTTAGGGAGAAAAGCATTTAACCAGTGAAACTGCAGGACGTGGTGCAAGGCAGACTCCCAATGCCATCAGCACTGCACGCTTCCCCTGGTCCCCACTGAATAACCTCAACTCACCTGAAACACAGCAATGCTCTCCTAGAGTCTTAGGGCTAACCCTGTCTCTAATAGCTGTGTATGATTTGAGGGAAGTCAATTCAGATTTCTACAATTTCATGTTCTTTTTCTTTTACAAAATGAGAAGATTGGACTAGCTCAGTTTTCGAACTTATAGTAACTGTCAAAAAAACTATTTTTTTTTTTTTTTTTTACTTAAACATACTAGGAAGTGTAAGCAAATAAAGCTGATAACGGATCTGTTCTGGCTGAAAAGGCCTGGATGATGCTAAAGCTCCTGCGCTGATCTCTTAGGATTCCAGGGAACACAGTTTGAAGATGCCTGGGCTAGCCCAGCCCTTGGATCCTAATATTCCACTGGAAATGGGCATTGGCGGCCTCCTACTTGCTGCTTGCCGGGTGGTTCGCGTAAGAAACTAGCTTGGTAACTAACCTCGCCAGCCCAGTTATGTTCCATAATATGCAAGTTTTGGCTCACATCTTAATTGTTGTCCAACAAAATACATCACTTTGAAACAACAAACGGAAATAATTGTCATGATCCTTTTCTACCTGTGGTTCTGAATTGCATATTAAAGCCTCAAGCAAGTGTGATACTGGGAAGAGCTTGGGCTTGGGGCCCAGTAGGCCTGCGTTTAAATCGCAGCTGGTCTCTTCAGGATGGTGTCTGAATGGGAAGTGGACTCCTACAGTGAGTGGCAGGACAGGCTCCTGATCTTCCAGTGCACCTGGTGAGTCCTCAGGCTAGAGGCTAAATGGGGTCTCCTCCTCTGCTCTCCCCTTCCCTGCCCTTTTCTGCTCTTCCCTGGCCCCCACTTCTCCCATACCTAGTGCCTAATACAAGAACCTCCTGTGTGCCTGCAGCGAGACAGACAGGGAAAGGTGCAGGAGCATCTGAGTCTGCTTTTTCACTGAGTCACATGGAAGGGGCCAGCGGTGCTGGAGTTTACCAGTTCTGTGAAATGAGGAGAAAGAGGAAATCCATGAGAGAATGGAGCCTGGGTTTTTGCCCTCAGAGGTGCAGTGACCCCACCCATTAACGCACATGGGCCCATCAACAGCCCCCACGCATGATCAGTAGTCTCATGAGTAGAGGAGTCTCCTTTCTTGGGAGTTCAGAAGGAAGTGTGGGTAGGAGGAAGCTTCTTGAGATGGGGAGTGAGAGCAAGTTTGACCTTTGGGTCAATTTTTTCTTCAGCCTCTAAATAAAGTCTTCTGGCCAATCTTATGATTTCATAACTTGCAATGTCTCAGATTCATGCTTTCTTCACCACTTCCATGTCATTAACCTCAAGCCAAGAAATTACCCCCGCCTCCCCTCGCTTGGCATCATTCCAGGTGTTTTCTCTCCCCTCACCGCTGTCCCTTATTCAGCAGCTGCTATACCTTTCCAAAGCTCGCACTTCTGGCCAAAAAGGATGCCTTCGTGTGCTTCACTGAAACAAGGCTAGACTTCCTATCTGGCCTTCAAACTCCCCCCAGGCCCCAATCTGGTTCTATGCTGCTTCTCCAGGGTTATTTTTGGGAACCCCTGCATTGTGCTCTTCTTGGTCTGGGCAGGCAGATTTCTCTCCAAGGAGATGGTGACTCGTACCAAAGCCACCAGGCTTTACCTCTTAAAGGTAAAGGCTTCAATTCTATAGGCCTGACTTTGGGCAGCTATAGGCCTGTGTTAGAAAGAATTATTATTGCCACTAGAAACATCCTATAACTTAAAAAAGTGGGATGCCAAGTTTTATAATTACTATAATTATGATAAAACATTTACATATGGGGAAATACTAGAAAGAAATATTCTAAAAATCATGTTGGCTGTGTTAGAAGGTAGAAATCAGTAAGATGGTCTCTGTAACAATGTTTCTGTAATGTTTTTATATTGCTTTGATAATTACACTAAAACAAGAGAAAAGTAATGAGTTTTATTGTTTTTAACTAGTTAAGCTCTGTACCAATGGTAGTTGGTCAAGAAGATCTCTAATAATCCAAATTTTAAAATCTATGATTTCCTGAAAATAAAAAAGTAAAAATGTCAAGAAGAAATAAAAGGATGACTAAGCTATTAGATTATTTACAGCTATAGGTACCTGCAAATATAACATGCCAAAAGTAATGCATGTTAATGAATGATAAGGGTTAAAACTTTTCTATCTATTAAATCAAGAAGACAAACTATAATCATTTAAGAATATTATTTTCCAGAAAATAATTTCTCTGTTCTTTCTTACCAGCCTGTTATTAGAGATGAGCTTTTAAGGTTTATCCTTTTACTTATTTATTAAAAAACACACACTTAGCCAGCTTAAAAAAAAAGGGAGAAAGCAAAAAGCAGCCTCTGATGGATTGCCCAGTACAGAATTATTTATATGAAAACTCCTGCCTAAGCATAATTTTTTGAGATGACATGTGCTTTGAAAATACAATGTGATTTCATCTTGAATGTAAAAGTAACTGTCTTTTTTTTAATGCTGACACCAGAAGATACAGAACCTGCTGATGTAACACAGAGGGTAGTTGGCTCAATCAATCCAAAAACCTATAAATCCATATGATATACAATATACAGTACAGTATCAAGGAAAATATCATTGATTTATATAACTGGAAATCTGAACAATACAATTTTACTTATGTTTGTTTTCCCTCCTCAAGAGCCTGCATCTGTGATGATGAGGGGAGGGTTATGATTCTTACAGAGCTGTGTTTTGGACTCCAGTCCTTCTTTGGAGTCCAATTTAGGATCTATTAGCATAGTCTTTGTGGTCCACTGAGTGTGAGAACATGCAGTTTGCTGAAGAGTGAAGATTGAATCAAGTTTCAAGGATTCCTAAGTAAAGCTCTAGCACATGACACTCAAGAAAAAACAAAAACAGATAAAAGCAGGCCAGCTACCCAGTTTCCTGGGATCATTTCTGTCTCAGGTAGGTCCCAGGCTTACCCCTTTTTATAAATGGGTACTTTAGTTGCAGATGATCTTTTACTTTAGAAAGAATACTTGTATATTGGCTCCTCTGGGGCAGAGAGGTTAGGGCTCCATAAATGCTTGTTGAATGAATGAATTTCTTTTCCAATGAAGTCTACCTCCAGCAGCTTTGCCTCACCTGGAACCCATATTGATTATTTGGGGTTTATTGTAATTTGGCCCCACCACTGACTTTTCCAGCCTTATCACCTGCTCACTGCTCACCTAGATCATCCCCCGCTTGTGGCCCTGTCTGCTCACAGACCCTGGAAGGGAAATACTACCCAGTGCAGTAGTGGAAGTTTTCTTACCTTGCTCCGCTTATTGACATCCGATATATCCCCACTTAATCCTTACTACTTCTATAAAACTTTTGCTCAAGCTTCCAACCCATAAGTGGTCTATCTCAACTCATAAGTGATCTATCTCAACCTGTACTTCTCATTTTACCCTTATTCCTATACTGTCCTGTGATACAAATTGTGCTATTGCTAGGGCTGTGGATAACTTTTGTTATGTTCTTAAGAGCAATCCCCATAATATTTTGGATTCCTAACAGAACCTAGCACAGTGTTATGTATATAGATATGTATTATGGGTTTAATTATGTCCCCCTCAAATTCATATGTTGAAGTCCTAACAATGAGTACCTTGGAATATCACCTTAGAATTTGAAAATAGGTTGTTGGAGATGTAATTAGTTAAGTAAGAGTAGTTAAGTAGGGTAGGCCCCATCTAATATGAATGGTGTTCTTGTAAAAAGTGGAAACTTGGCCGGGCACGGTGGCTCACACCTGTAATCTCAGCACTTTGGGAGGCGGAGGTGAGTGGATCACAAGGAGTTCCAGACCAGCTTAGCCAACATGGTGAAACCCTGCCTCTACTAAAAATACAAAAAATTAGCCAGGCATGGTGGCAGGCACCTGTAATCCCAGCTACTCAGGAGGCTGAGACAGGAGAACTGCTTGAATCTGGGAGGTGGAGGTTGCAGTGAGCTAAGACTGTGCCACAGCACTCTAGCCTGGGCAACAGAGCGAGACTCTGTCTCAAAAAAAAAAAAAAAAAAAAGGTGGGAAAGACGACACACATCCAGGCATGACATGTGAACATGAAAGCAGATATTGGGAATGTCCAAGATTGCCATTAAACCATCAGCAGCTAGGGAGAGGCATGGAACAGATTCTCACAACCCTTAGAAGGAACCATCCCTAATGATTCCTTGATCTTGAATTTCTCCAGAGCTGTGCAATAATAAATTTCTGTTGTTTAAGCCATCCAGTTTGTGGTATTCTCTATAGCAGCCCTGGCAAACAGATATAACATGCTTAATAAGTGCTATTGAATCACAGTGAAAAAGAGAGGGGCACAGAGATTACTGTGGACTTTAAAAAACCCATATGTTTTTTAAAACAGTAATTTTTAAAATAGACTTTAATATGTAGAGCGGTTTTAGGTTCACAGCAAAACTAAGTAAAGGGTTCTGAGATTTCTGCCCCTACATGCACGCAGTCTCCCTGACTGTCAAAATCCCTCACTAGAGTGATAACTTGTTACATACATTGACCCAACATTGTCACCCAAAGTCTGCATTTAATGTTAGATTTCACTCCTAGTGTTGTGTATTCTGTGGGTTTTGACAAATATGTAATGACAGGTATCCACCACTATAGTATCATACAGATAATTTTCATTGCCCTAAACCCCTCTGTGCTCTGCCTATTTATCCCACTCTCCTGCCTAATCCCTGGCAATCAGTGATCTTAGGATCTCCATAGTTTTGCCTTTTCTAGAATATATCATTGAAATCATACGATACGTAGCCTTTTCAGATTGACTTTTTTTACTTAGTTATATGCATCTAAGATTCCTACACGTCTTTTCATGGCTTGGTAGCTTATTTTTAGTGCTGAATACTATTCCATTATCTGGATAGACCACAGTTTATTTATTTATTCACTTACTGAAGGACATCTTTGTTGCCTCTAAGTTTTAGCAAATGTGAACAGAGCTACTGAAGACATTCATGAGCAGGTTTCTGGGTAGCCATATGTTTTTAACTAATTTGGGTAAATACTAAAAACCATGATTCTTGGGTCATATGATAAGAGTGTGTTTAGTTTTGTAGGAAACTGCCAAACTGTCCTCCCAAGTGGCTGTACTATTTTGCATTCCCTCTAGTGATGAATGATACTTCCCGGTGCTCCATACCCTTGCCATCTTTTGTCGTTGCCAATGTTCTGGATTTTGGCTATTTCAATCAGTGTGTAGAGGTATCTCATTGTTGTTTTAATATGAAATTGCCTAATGACGTATGATGCTGAGCATCCTTTCATATGTTTATTTTCCATCTTTGTATCTTCTTTAGTGAGGTTTAAGTATTTGCCTAATTTTTTAATCAGGTCATTTGTTTTGTCATTGTTGAGTTTTAAGAGTTTTTATATTTGAATAAGAATTATTTATCAGATACATCTTTTGCAAATATTTTCTCCCAGTCTGTGGCTTGTCTTAGTCTTTTGACAATGTACTTTGTAGAGTGGAAATTTTTAATTTTAATGAAGTCCAACCTATCAATTGTTTCTTTCATGGATTCTGCCTTTGGTGTTGTATCTAAAAAGTCATCACCAAATCCCAAATCATCTAGATTTCCCCATGTTATCTTCTAGGAGTTTTATAGTTTTATATTTACATTTAGGTCTATAATTCATTTTGAGTTAATTTTTCTGAAAGGTGTAAAGTCTGTGTCTAGATTCTGGGTTTTTTTTGCATGTGAGTGTCCACTTGTTCCAGTACTATTTGTTGAAAAGACTATCTTTGTTTCATTGTATTGCCTTTGTTTCCTTGTCAAAGATCTGTTGACTCTATTTAAGTGGATCTATTTCTGGGCTTTCTATTACGGGTTCCATTGATCTACTTGTTTATTCTTTTACCAAGAAATACACTGTCTTGATTATTGCAGCTTTGTAGTAAGTCTTGACATTGGCTACTGTCAGTCCACCAACTTTGTTCTCCTTTGATGTAACGTGTCTATTCTAGGTCTTTTGTTTCTCCATGTAAATGTTAGAATCAATTTGTCAATATCCATAAAATAACTTGCTGGGCTTTTGATTGGCATTGACCAAATCAAAGAACTAGCATCTCAATAATATTGAGTCTCCCCATTAATAAACATGAACTATCTCTGCATTTATTTAGTTCTTTGATTTATTTCATCAAAGGTTTGTAGTTTTACTCATAAAGATCTTGAACATATTTTGTTAGACTTATATCTAATTATTCATTTTAATATTATGGTGTTTTTAATTTTCTTTCTTTTCTTTTCTTTTTTTTCTTTGAGACAGGATCTCACTCTGTTGCCCAGGCTGGAGTGCAGTGGCATGATCTCAGCTCACTGCAACTACAATCTCTGCCTCTCGGGCTCAAGGGATCCTTCCACCTCAGCCACCCAAGTAGCTGGAACTACAGGCATGTGGCACCATGACCAGCTAATTAACACACACACACATATATATATAAAAATGTGAAAAAAATATATATATTCACATTTTTTTTTGAGATGGAGTTTTGCTTTTGTTGCCCAGGCTGGAGTACAATGGTTTGATCTCAGTTCACTGCAACCTCTGCCTCCCAGGTTCAAGCGATTCTCTGGTCTCAGCCTCCCGAGTAGCTGGGATTACAGGTGTGAGCCACTGTGCCTGGCCTAATTTATATATTTTTTGTAGAGATGAAATTTTGCCATGTTGCTCAGGCTGGTGTCAAACTCCTGGGCTCAAGCGATCTGCCCACTTTGGCCTCCCAAAGTGCTGGGATTACAGGTGTGAGCCACTGTGCCTGGTGGTGTTTTTAATTTCAAATTCCATTTATTCATTGCAGGTTTGTAGGAAAATAATGGACTTTAGTATATTAACCTTATATCCTTCAACCTTGCTATAATTTCTTATAAGTTCCTGAAGAATTTTTATGGTTTCTTTTAGATTTTCTGCATAGATGATCATGTCATCTGGAACAAAGACAGTTTTATTTCTTCCTTCCAAATCTGTATGTCTTTTATTCCCTTTTCTTATCTTATTCCATTAGCTAGGACTTCCAGTATGATGTTAAAAAGAGTGGTGAGAAGGGATATCCTTCTCTGGTTCCTGATCTTAGCAGGAAATATTTTAGTTTCTCACCATCAAGTGCGATGTTAGCTGTAGGTTTTTTGTAGATGTTCTTTATCAAGTTGAGGAAGTTCCCTTCTATTCCTATTTTTCTGAGAATTTTTATCATGAATGAGTGTTAGATTATTCAAATGCTTTTTCTCCATCTGTTGATATGACTGTGTGATTTAATTCTTTACCTGTTGATGAGATGGATTACATTAATTTGAATGGTGAACCAACCTTGCATACTTGTAATAAATCTCACTTTGTCCTGATGTAAAATTTTTTTTGAACATCATTGGATTCAATTTCCTAATATTTTGAGAATTTTACACCACATTTATGACAGATATTGGTTTGCAGTTTTCTTTTTTCAAAATGTCTTTGCCTGGTTTTGGTATTTGAGTAATGCTATCCTCACATCTGAATTAGAAAATATTCCTTTCTGCTTATATCTTCTGGAAGAGGCTGTTGAGGATTGGTATAATTTCTTTCTTATATATATTCAATTGATTTCACCAGCAAGCCCATCTAGGCTTGAGGTTTTCTGTTTGGAAGGTTATTAATTACTGATTTAATTTCTTTAACATGTATATAGGCCTATTCAGATTATCTTTTTCTTCTTGTGTGAATTTTAGATGATTTTATCTTTAAAGAAATTGGTCTATTTCATTTAGGTTATCAAGTTTGTGGGCATAGTGTTGTTCATAATATTCCTTTTTTATCCTTTTAATATCTGTGGGATCTGTTGTGATGCCTCCTCGTTTATTTCTAATATTAGTAATTTGTGTCTTCTCTCTTTTTTTCTTTACCTGGCTAGGGGCTTATCAGTTTTATTGATCTTTCAAAGAATCAGTTGTTTGTTTTGTTGATTTTCTCTATTGATTTCCTATTTTCAATTTCATTGATTTCTTTTGTAATTTTTATTATTTAGTTTTTCTTTTTATGTTGGATTTCTTTTGTGTTTCTTTTTACAGTTTCTTAAGTTGGAAACTTAGATTATTGATTTAAATCTTTCTTCTTTCCTAATACATGCATTCGATTCTATACATTTCTCTCTAAGCACTACTTTAGCTGTATTCCATACATTTTAATGTTGTATTTTTGTTTTTATTTAGTTCAAAATATTTTAACATTTCTCTTGAGATGTCCTTTTTGATACTTGTGTTATTTATAAATGTGTTGTTTATCCTCCAAGTATTTGGGGAATCTTCCAACTATCTTTCTGTTTATTTAGTTTAATTCCTTTGTAGTCTAAGAGCAGACAGTGTATGATTTCTATACTTTAAATTTATTAAGTTCTGTTTTATGACCCAGAATGTGATCTACTTTGATGAATGTTCCATATGAACTTGAGAATAATGTGCATTTTGCTGTTGTTGGGTCAAGAGACGCAAATTGTATCATTTGATCAATGGTGCTGTTCAGTTCAACTATATCCTTACTGATTAGCTGCCTGCTGGATCTGTTCATTTTATATAGAGGGGTGTTGAATTCTCTCACTATAATAGTGGATTGATCTATTTCTCCTTATGGTTCTCAGTTTTTGCCATACTTATGTTGATGCTCTGTTGTTTAGGTACATACATGTTAAAGACTGTTACATCTTCTTGGAGTGTTGATCATTTTATGATTATGTAATGCTCCCCTTTACTCCTGATGTCTTTCCTTGCTCTAAAGTCTACCTTGTTTGAAATTAACATAATAACTTTTGCTTTCTTTTGACAGATGTTAGCATGGTTTACCTTTCTCTGTACCTTCATCTGTAATCTGTATGTGTAGTTATATTTAAAGTGGATTTCAGGTATGTCTTTTCTCCATGCCTTCACCTGTAATCTATATGTGTATTTATATTTAAAGTGGATTTCATATATATCTTTTCTCCATGCCTTCATTTGTAATCTATATGTGTATTTATATTTAAAGTGGATTTCATGTAGACAGCATATAGTTGGGTCTTGTTTCTGACAATCTGTTTTTTAATTGGTGTATTTAGGCCATTGACATTTAAAATGGTTATTGATATAGTTGCATTGATATCTACCATATTTGTTACTGTTTTCTATTTGTTGTCATGGTTCTTTGTCTCTATTTTTGTCTTCCACTCTTTTTCTGCCTTTTGTGGTTTTAATTCTGTACTTTATATCATTATTTTTTCTCTTCTTTTATAGTATATCAGTTATTTTTTTCTTTTTTTTTTGGTGGGTGCCTGAGGGTTTGCAGTATGTATTTACAACTAATCCAAGTCTACTTTCAAATAACACAATACCAATTCATGGATAGTACAAGTACCTGACAATAATAAAATAATCCTGATTCCTCTTTCCTGTCCATTGTATCATTGCTTTCATTCATTCAATTATACAGAAGTGTGCAAAGTGTGTGTGTGATGTCTGTGTGTGTATGTATTCAAATACATTGTTGCTATTATTTTTTTGAACAAACTGTTATCTGTTAGGTCAATTATGAATAAGTAAAATAAATGTTCTTATTTTTACCCTCACTTATTTCTTTTCTAATGCTCTCCCTTTATCTGGATTTGCATTTCTGACGCATTTTGTTTTCCTTCTCTCTGAAGAATTTTTTTTTTTTTTTTTGAGATGGAGTTTTGCTCTTTCACCCAGGCTGGAGTGTAGTGGCACAATCTCAGCTCACTGCAACCTCCCCCTTCCAGTTTCAAGTGATTCTCCTGCCTTAGCCTCCTGAGTAGCTGGGATTACAGGCACCCGCCACCATGCCCGGCTAAGTTTTGTATTTTTAGTAGAGACAGGGTTTCACTATGTTGGCCAGTCTGGTCTTGAACTCCTGACCTCATGATCCACCCACCTCGGCCTCCCAAAGTGCTGGGATTACAGGCATGAGCCACTGTGCCTGGCACAAGAACTTCTTTTAACATTTCTTAGAAGTCAGATTTACTGGCAGCAAATTCCGTCAGTTTTTGTTTGTCAGAAAAAGTCTAGATTTCTCTTTCGCTTTTGAAGGATAATTTCTCAGGGTACAAAATTCTAGGTTGGTGGGTTTCTTTTTTCTCTTAACACTTCAAATACTTAACTTCACTCTTTTCTTGCTTGCATGGTTTCTGAGGATAAATTGGATGTAGTTTTTATTTTTGCTCCTCTGTAGGTAAGTTTATTTTTCATGTCTTCTTTCAAGATTTTGTCTTTAGTTTTGATTTTCTGCAGTTTGAATATGTCTATGTGTACTTTTCTTTAAAAATGTGTCCTTCTGGTATTCTCTGAGCTTCCTGTGTCTTTGGTTTGGTGTTTGACATTAATTTTTGAAAATCATCAGTCATTATTGTTTTAAACATTTTGCCTGTTCTTTCTTTCTTTTCCTTTTGGTATTCCCTTTACACATATGTTACATCTTTTGTAATTGTCCCACACTTGGATATTCTCCTTGGTTTATTTCTCAATCTTTTTTCTCTTTGTTTTTCTGTTTTGGATGTTTCTATTGACATACCCTCAAGGTTAGAACTTCTATACTCAGCTGTGTCCAATCTACTGAGAAGCACATTGAAGAATTCTTCATTTCTGTCCCAGTGTTTTGATCTGTAGGATTTCTTTCTTATTCTTTCTTAGAATCATGATCTCTTTGCTCAAATTTCCCATCTGTTTTTGCATGCTGTCTACTTTATCCATTAGAACCCTTAGCATGTGTATTAGTCTGTTTTGTGCTGCTATAACAGAATGCCTCAGTCTGGATAATTGTATTAAAACATGAGAAATGTATTCTCTCATAGTACTGGAGCCTATGAAGTCTGAAATCAAGGTGCTAGCATCTGGTTTCTAGTGAGGCCCTTTTTGTGTCCACACATGGCAAAAGGTGGAAAGGTAAAAAGGGACAAACTGTTTCACAGGGCAGAAGAGTGAAGACAGCAATCCCATTGATGTCAACTCTTTTTATAATAATATTAATACAGTCATGAGAACAGAGCCCTTATGATCTAAATGCTTCCCATTAGGCCCCACCTCTTAACACTCTTGAGTTGGCAGTGGTGAGTTGTAGGGGGATGGGGGATTTTATTAAGAGCCAAGTATATTCAGAAATAGTGAGCCTGTGCCTTTGAATTATTAACTTCACAACAGTGGGCTGAAGTTAGCTATTTCTCTTTTCCCACATGGAAGGCTAGAGCAGACTGGAGTTAGATATTTTCCTTCCCCCACTTAAACTGATGAAACCCCAACAGTTTAGGCTTTTAAATAGCTTCTCTGGAGGACAGGCCTTATTAACAAGAATTGAATGCTCTGGTGTATTTCCAAATGGTTCATTTTCTCCTTCTTCCTTTTGGAAGCATGAAGGTTTTTTGTTTGGTTGTTTCTTTGTTTATTTTTGTTTACCTGTTTTTCACTGTGAGGACTGTAGGTAAAACTCTCAAAAGTGTGGAGTTCTTGATGTAACTAGGTCTCATTGGAGTTTTTATCTCTCAGATGATCTACACTGTACTTCTAGCAATTTGCCAATTACAGTTCAAGTTCTCCTACCTGGTTCCCGCAGGGTTTCTGCTAGGAGGATTCTGCTCTGGTAAATTGTATTTCTCTGTATCTGCTTCTCTATTTCTCCAACTTTGGGGGTGGCAGTTTGTACTGTGATCTTACTTCTTTCACAGATCTAAGAAGAGTTGTTGATTTTTCAGTTTGTTCAGCTTTTTACTTTTTAGGATGACGTGACGACTTCTGAACACCTAATATCCTAGGCCGGAAACTGGAAGTCCTGTGGACTTTTCACTTACCTGCTGGGCACACACAGCTTACTCTGGCTGTGTGTTTAATGCAAAGCTAAACTCATTTTATTTTTAATATAAGGCAATTTAAAAATTATAATCTGTTGCTGAAACTTCAATAGGGTTTCATTAGATATAACGTGAGCTTGGATTAAAGTAGCTGGGAAAGATTTCTTGGATAAATTAATTGCTACAAGAAGTGATCAAATTTAATTTATCAAAACAGAACAAAAAACAAATTAGGTAAATGTAATCATTTATATTTTATTAAGAGCCAAGTATATTCAGAAATAGTAAAACATCACTTATTTTTTCTACACTAAAATGTGGCATACAAAAATATCTCCATTAAAACAATGAGACACTATACCATATTTGTAGCATTTTTAGCATAACATAGCCACCTAATATCAGAAGTCATGTTGGATTGGTATAGCGGGCGTAGACTCAGATCTTCCTCCCATGGAGCCCCACCTTTGTTTCATTCATAGCTGAGAAGTCTGTCATTCCACAGGACTTCTTCTTTAATAAATGGAAGAGAAACATCACTGCACATGTTACAGCAGTTGAGTTCTTTTGAATTAGGTTGTTCCAAAAATTACTGTTTCATCTTGTACAGCTCCCCTACTGATTTTTTAGAACTCAGAGCTACAGTTTCTCTTCCTTGAAGTATTCTAGCATTTTTCTTGTTTTGCTCAGATCATTCAAAAACAAGATATGACTTTTTAAAACATTTTCATGTAAAATGTCCTTCAGTCATGGGAACAATGAAATGTAATATTTAATATGAAATGAACTGCAACATCCCAATTCTAAATTGGAAATATACAGCTGTGTAGTGGCACAGGCCAGAGGTAAGTGGGTGAAATCCATACGTCACATGATTTCTTGTGCTGTTCTGCAGCGTGGCCTGAATTTTAGGGCGATATATGCATATATCACACACATTTTATTTTTTCTACTCTAATATGTGGCATACAAAAATATTTTTATTAAAACAATGACAACAGTTTTCCATATTTGTATTTTTTTGATGATGTAGTCACCTGATATCAGAAGTCATGTTGGATTGTTATAGCAGGTGTAGTTTCAGATCTTCCTCCTGTGGAGCCATATATATTTTGTCGTATATATGAAAAAAATATGGTTCCATGGGAGGGAGATCTGAATTTACACATATATGAAAATGTATTTCCAGCCTGGACTTTTGTTTATCTTTTTTTTGTTTGTTTGTTTTTGCCCACAGAATGGCTATTGCTGACTCCTGGAATGCTGTTTGGAAAAGACTACGGAGAGAGTGATTCTTCATCAGTGATTAAGCATCTTTTCATGGTAGGAACACCCAGATGGGGTTCATTTTGATGATATAATTTACCTGCATGCTTGGAGAGCTTTAATCAAATGAAATACATAGTTAAAAATGTTATATAAAATACGTGCTACTTGGATAGAGCTGTGATTCTTTGGAAGTAGAGAAATGCATCTTGTCGCATTGGGATTTTGTTAATCTCTGGATTTCCTCAACTTTCCCTCTGACTTGTTTCTCAATTTTCCTGCTTCCAATGTGATGAAATGACATTGGCCTCACAATTACCTACTGATCCATTACGCATTTATGTGAGGCACCATGGAGACAGGTACTGGTTTCTTCTTGATGGGTTGTCTAGGAAGGCTTGGGACTTTCAGAATCAACAAGGATTTTATGTTTGACTGATTCTTGCTCAGAGTGGCTAGTATTTGTCATATTCTCCTCAGAGAGAATTTGGAAGTCCACCTCATCTTTTGCTAGGGAGGCGAGGGTCAGCACAGACAAGCATCTCTCGTTTCCACTCAGCTCGTGCTCTGACACAGGCTCTCCCTCAGTGCCACACCCTATGTCTCCCCGTCTCTGAGCAGGCCTATGTAGGAAGGTGCAAAGATAAGTTAACAAAGGATGGTAGCCCTGGTCAGAGGCCTTCAGTTAAACCTTCTTCCTGCAGGTCTCTGCACAGAGTGAGAAGCAACTTGACTGGGCCACACATACAGAAGAGAGGAAGGGAGGGTGGAAAGGGGTCCCATGTAGGGAGAAGACTATAACCATGTGATATGGTTTGGCTCTGTGTCCCCACCCAAATCTCATATTGAATTGTAATCCCCCAGTGTTGGGGGAGGAAGCTGGCGGGCGGTGACTGGATGATGGGGGCAGATTTTCCCCTTGCTGTTCTGGTGATAGTGAGTGAGCTCTCTTGAGATCTGGTTGTTTAAAAGTGTGTAGCACTTCCCCCTTCACTCTTTCCTCCTGCTCTGCCATGTGAAGAAGTTGATTGTTTTCTCTTCACCCTTCCGTGATGACTGTAAGTCTTCTGAGGCCTCCCCAACCATACTTCCTGTACAGCCTGCAGAACTGTGAGTCAATTAAACCTCTTTTCTTTATAAATGACCCAGTCTCAGGTAGTTCTCTATAGCAGTGTGAGAATGGACTATACACAATGCTCCTAGCTTGTATCTCTTCCCCTACCCAACTTTCCTTCAATGAAAGAATGGTAAAAATAGACATTCTAAACTCCTGCCAAATAAGGGCAATACAGCAGTTGCATTTTTTTTCTTCAGAACAAATAAGTATTAGAATGCTTGGATGAAATAAGTCTTTATTCCTACTTCTCCCTGACCCCACCAAATAACTTCATACTGTGAAAAATTGTGCTACTAGTTTTATGTTCTTGAATATTCATGTATTGAATATATAACTCTGTGATCTATGAAGATGATTTGAGTGATTGTATCAGGTTGTAATTTATCACTTGACTTTATAATATTTAGTCACATATGACCAATTAAATTACCCAACCTGACAAAAATGTATAGTGTGGTGCTTATGATTAGCTAATACATTGGGATAATGCATAGAATCATAAAAGCATAGACCTAAGGTGTACACTTCTGTTGTTGTGATAGATAACAGCATTTCCTCATTCAAACTTTTTTTTATTTCTTTTTTTTTTTAATTTTTGAGACAAGAATCTTGTTCTGTTGCCCAGGCTGGAGTGCAGTGGCATGATCTCAGCTCACTGCAACCTCTGCCTCCTGGGTTCAAGCAATTCTTGTGCCTCAGCCTCCCTAGTAGCTGGGATTACAGGCACCTTCCACCACGCCCAGCTAATTTTTTGTATTTCTAGTAGAGACAGGGTTTCATTATGTTGGTCAGGCTGGTCTCAAACTCCTGGCCTCAAGTGATCCACCTGCCTCAGCCTCCCAAAGTGCTGGGATTACAGGCATGAGCCACTATGCCCTGCCTGATTCAAACTTTTTTTATGGTTTGAAAAATATCAGAATTACATTCTCCCCTGCTCACCACCTCTCCATTCCTATCTTTTTTTTTTCCTGCACATCAATATTTCCTTTGAACATGGAAAGATCCAGAAATGCTGACAGATGATAAGAAGCTTGTCCTGACAATTTCCAGATTAGTTTGGTGGATGAATTTCATGAATTTTGGTTAAGAATACTAATTTTTATTAGAATTCTGGGATTTCAGCAAACTAGTTAGGGAAGATAGTAAGAATTTGGATGTATATCTCAAATATTAAGTAACTTCAGTGTTATTATTCTTCCCTTTCTAAGGCATACTAAAACCAGGGATAAACAAGACCCCGAATCCAAATGCCAGTGGGCCTCTTGTCTCAGAGCCCCAAACCAGTAAAGGCATAGGCATTCAAACCCTGCCATTTCCTCCTTTCTTGCTAGGTCACCTGGCAGCCCCACACTGTCCTGTTGTTCTTATCATCCCCACAGGCTCTGGGCAACTGAAGCTGTTGCTGTGTTCCTTCCTCTGTCTGCTCACAAGGGTGCAGGCATCTAGGAACAGGCTTCCCGTTTCCTCTGAGATACCTCTGGGGGACTGTTAGAGGCTATATGATTCTATTTCCCTGTACCACACCCAAAAGCTCATTTCTCCTTTGTCACAAGACTCTCAAGAATTTTACCTTTGTCTTCCTTAAGAGTAATTTTTCAGCTAGGTGTGGTGGCTCACACCTGTAATCCCACCACGTTGGGAGGCCAAGGTGGGAGAAACACTTGAGTCCAGGAGTTTGAGACAAACCCGGGCAACATAGTGAGGCCTCATCTCTATAAAACATAAAAAAATTAGCCGGGCATGGTGGTGCATGCCTGTAGTCACAGCTACTTGGGAGGCTGAGGTGGGAGGATCGCTTGAGCCCAGAAGTTCAAGGTTACAGTGAGCTATGATTGCACCACTGCACTCCAGCCTGGGTGACAAAGAGAGACCCTGTCTCTTAAAAAAAAAAAAAAAAAAAAAAAAGAAAAGTAAATTTTCTGCCACCTAAGAGCATCTCCCATCATTGTTTGGGGAGTCTGCGACATATCTATTTTAGGGAGTGATAATCCTGGTATTTAAAGGCCTATCTCTCCATTCAATGTTTTCTTCAAAGTTTCTCTCAAGAGGCTAAGTCTTCAAAAATTAAAAATAAAAAAAAGATTTCAAATATCTAGATTACGACTCCCCTTTTGCTATGGTTGAGGCTGTCTGGTTGATAATCAGTGATTGAAAAGATGCATGTGCATGTATACTACAAGTAATCCTACAGATTTCAATATCAATCACCCATTGCTCTATGATCAATAAAAATGCAAGTGTTGTTTCTGTATTTCAGAATGTGTGCTGGAGGAGAGAAAGTTTAGAAGAATGTTAGTTTAATTAAATTATCTGTACTTATTTGCAGTGGTATAAAATGTACATATGTAGCAGGCATGTAAAAATTAATTTTTCCCTCATTTCCTGTTTCTCAATGCTATTGAGTCATTAATTTCTTCCTTCAGTAAATAGCTGTTTATGCTTATGTACTATGCACCATGTTCTGTGCTCAGGATATCACAGCAAACAAAGAGAATATGAACTTGACCTCACAGCCTTGTAGTCTAGGAGCTGTAGATAACATTAATAGTTAACTTCATCATCACTGCCCATCTCAATTTAGGAATCTTGTTAAGACCTAGCACATCTGGTTACTTTCAGGATGAAAAAATAAATAATTTTAAAAAACAGGCCGAGCACAGTGGCTCATGCCTGTAATCCCAGCACTTCAAGAGGCCAAGGCAGGCAGATCACCTGAGGTCAGGAGTTTGAGACCAGCCTGACCAACATGGTGAAACCCCGTCTCTACTGAAAACGCAAAAATTAGCTGGGTGTGGTGGCACTCGCCTGTAATCCCAGCTACTCGGGAGGCTGAGGCAGGAGGATTGCTTGAACCTGGGAGGTGGAGGTTGCAGTGAGCCAAGGTCATGCCACTGCACTCCAGTCTGGGTGATGGAGCAAGACTCTGTCTCAAAAAAACAAACAAAAAACAAACAAACAAAAAACAGAAGGCAAACAATTCAGAGTGTTGCTGGTATATGTTGTGTGACTTTTTGAAAAATGTTAATTTTTTATAGGTTTCATTGATCAGCAGTATGCTGTGAGAGTTGTAAAGATCTATATCTGCTTGTTGGGCTGGGCGCAGTGGCTCACACCTGTAATCCCAGCACTTTGGGAGGCTGAGGCAGGTGGATCACGAGGTCAGGAGATCGAGACCATCCTGGCTAACATGGTGAAACCCCGTCTCTACTAAAAATACAAAAGAATTAGCTGGGCGTGGTGGTGGGCGCCTGTAGTCCCAGCTACTTGGGAGGCTGAGGCAGGAGAATGGCATGAACCCAGGAGGCAGAGCTTGCAGTGAGCTGAGATGGTGCCACTGCAGTCCAGCCTGGGCGACAGAGCGAGACTCTGTCTCAAAAAAAAACAAAAACAAAAACCAAACCAAATAAAAAAACCAAACTAAAACAAAAAGATCTATATCTGCTTATTAAGGCAAAATGGTTAATTTCATATAATATACTTGTTTTGTATACAATACAAAGGAAATACCAATACTTTTGGTCTTTTTGAGAAGTCAACATAAAGCATAGAATATTAATGCTGTAGGGACCTGGAAAATATCTTATCGAATTCTGTCATTTCATAGAGGGGAAGTGAAGGAGCCAGAGACAGTGCTGGGTGTCCCCCAGCCTCTGCTTCAGACAGAGGGGTATAATTGAGACCAGCTGAGGCTGGATGACCTTACCACTAGCTTCAACTATAAAAAGAGAATTGCAGAGGAAAACACAAACTTAGAAGAGGCCAAATTTTCTCTGGAGACTTGGTCTAAGGCAAAGCCTTGTTCTTGAGGAAAGCCTGTTATGGAGATTTGCTTTAGGAGGTGGCTGGCTTGCCACTTTCAGCAAGAGCAGAGTGACAATTCCGAGACCTTAAAGAATAAGGTAACCAAGGGCAGTTCTCAAAATTTTACTCTAAAGGAAGTGAATTGAATTTCCTTGGGAATTTTAGCTATTCAAGAATAAAATCCAAAATGTTTTAGAGAGAAAGAGAGAATTGGGTAAAATACTCTTTTTAAAAGCCAGTTACCCATTTTATTAATTCCAAGTCACAATTGAGTTTAAATGCCCCGTCATTTTAGATACCATGAAGGAGGAAAAATCACTGCCCATTAAGCTGTGATCTAAAGTTTTCTTATCATTTTGATTTTATTTTATGCTTATTGAAAGAACCGTTTGAACTTAGACACAAGTTTTTATCATTGGTCACTCTTACGCCTACAAGAACAAGGAAGGTAAATGGGACTAAGCTGGTTGGAAAGGTTTGCCTCTGTGACAGCCTCATGCTGTCTGAGGACTGGGAAAATTTCAAGGTTGGTTGGGTAAGGTATTCCTAAGGTGGGTTAAAGTATTCCTAAGCTTCTTTACATCAAGAGTTCAGTTCTTCTGTCTCACTCTTCATTGAGCATCATTGATGTCCATGATTTTGTAGATACCTATTACATTGAAGACACTGGTGACTCATCATTTCTTAAAAGAACCTATAAAGTAGCAAAAGACCATTGGCACAGAGCTTTTTACTTGGCTTTGGAATTCAGGGGAGAGCTAGTGTGCTGTGGTTCAGGAATGCGGCTGATCACTTCTTGGCACTCCCTCCCAACCTGTCTTCCACGGCCAACTGATTCTGAGTTCTTACCAGAACTCAAGAGTGTGCCTCTCTTTTTTCAGGATTTTTTTCCCCACACTGCTGATGTTCAGTCATGGTTGGATGGTAAGAACTCGTTTGCAATTACCATAAGGCAGACAGAGATTGTCAGATGCCACTGACTCTGAGACACGTCCTGGTTTCGTGCTTCAGAGATGTAAGAATGTAGAAAGAAATGTGTGATGAACGATGACACAGAAAGACTTTATTTCCTTTATTGCTCTTCTCCGTTTGGTATTTGACCTGTTCTGTTGCAGGCAAGGTCAATTAGCTGCTTTGTATTGTCATTGTAAGGAATCAAGTTGGGAGCGCCTGCCTGGCGTTTCTCTAGGTCACGGTCAGAGCGCTGGTAATCTCCAAGCTGTCAACAGGTGTCCTGTGCAGACAGGGCTGTGGTTGCAGAAGTTTGAAAGAGACTGTAGACCGCATTTCTCTTATTTTGATTTTTTTCTTTCTTTCTTTCTTTTTTTTTTTTTTTTTTTTGAGACAGAGTCTCGCTCTGTCGCCCAGGCTGGAGTGCAGTGGTGTGATCTCGGCTCACTGCAAGCTCCACCTCCCAGGTTCAAGCCACTGCTCCTGTTAAATAAATCTTCTAGTTCCTATGGACTAGGAATGTTCAGTGTAACAGCTGGAAACTGTTAGAAGAGTGGATTAGACAACATATGCATACATGCATTATGGTAGAATACAATGTAGCTATTTAAAAAGTTGCACTTAATTTTTAAAAATATTTAACTGTTCATGCCATATTTTTAAGTGAAAAAAAATCAGATTGCAAAGTACTGTGTGTTATAGAATCCTCACTAAGGATACATATATGCATTTTTTTTGAGATGGAGTCTCGCTCTCTCACCCAGGCTGGAGAGCAGTGGTGTGATCTCGGCTCACTGCAAACTCCGCCTCCTGGGTTCAGGCCATTCTCCTGCCTCAGCCTCCCAAGTAGCTGGGACTACAGGCGCCCGCCACCACACCTGGCTAATTTTTTGTATTTTTAGTAGAGACGGGGTTTCACCGTTTTAGCCAGGATGGTCTCAATCTCCTGACCTTGTGATTCGCCCGCCTCGGCCTCCCAAAGTGCTGGGATTACAGGCGTGAGCCACCGCACCCAGCCCCATATGTGCATTTTACATATGTATTTATATGAAACATTCTGGAAGGATATAAAAATGCTAAAAGTTGTTTATCTTGTGGCATTGGGACTACAAATGAGTATAATGTGCTTATTTGTGCTTACGTGTTCTGAATTTTTTGATAGTGAAGATGTATGCTTTTAAAATTGAAAAAATTAAAAATTGTTATTTATTTTTTAGATGGAGTCTTGCTTTGTCACACAGGATGGAGTGCAGGGGTGCAATCTTGGCTCACTGCAACCTCTGCCTCCCAGGTTCAAGTGATTCTCCTGCCTCAGCCTCCCAAGTAGATGGGATTACAGGCGCACACCACCACGCCAGGGTAATTTTTGTATTTTTAGTAGAGACGGGGTTTTGCCATGTTGGCTAGGCTGGTCTCAAACTCCTGGCCTTAGGTGATCCACCCACCTTGGTCTCCCACAGTGCTGGGATTACAGGCGTGAGCCACTTGCCCAGCCTTAAAAATTGTTATCTACAGGGTTGAGTTCCAAGGTCATCTCTGCTGTGTAAAGTGTCCCTCATCTTAGTCTTCAGAACACTGGCTACCCATGTGCTTCATTGTTGAGAGAGCTCTTGGAGAGCTGACTGCATGGTACTGAAATGACCTGCTTAGGGAATACATCTGTTAAGTCCAGTCCAGGGAATACACCTGTTCCCTGGACTGGACTGTCAACCCCTGGAGGACAGAGGCCATGTCTGATTCATCTTGTATTCTCATATTTGGCCCAGTCTGCCCTCCAGTGAGCATTGGATAAGTGTTTAAGAAATGATGAAGTATTCTAGAAGACTCCTACTATGGCTCTTTTCTGGCTGGTGTGTGTGTATATACATGTATTTTATACACATGTACACACACATGCTTATTATGTGTTCTATGTATTTTGCCTGTTCCAGGGATATTAGAGGTAACTGTACCACCTAGGAGTTAAGTATGGTTATTACTGCTGTTCCAGGGAGGTAAATGGAGGCTGAGAGGTGAGTGAGTGAATTTGCCAGTAGATTTGTCTGAGCTTTGTGTGCCTTACCTGAAACCTTGCTCCTGTCCAGTGTTATTATGCTATCTCCTAAGGATCCACTGTTACCACAAAACACTTTTAAAAACCAATTTCCTCACCGCAACAAGGATAGTCGCCAGGTTCCTGGTGAGGGGAAGGCTGGTTCTGAGTGGAGGTCGGTGAAAAGTCAGCACTGTGTCCCTGCGGCACAGTTTTTCACAGAGCTGGCTCCGTGGGTAGAAACCGACGTCAGGTACTAGAGTCAACACGCCAACCCAAAGTTGTGCCTTGAAGTTGGCTGTCAAACTGTGGTCCTGGTGTTTCTGAGTTCTTGTGACCTGAATAGGAAAAAACTACATAAATAAAAAGCAAAACAAGCCTAGAATCTTCTGTTCTGATCCAGTCGACAATGATCTTATTACTTTGACTAAACCTGCAAGTGGCTCTGTCGATGAAAAAGAGAAAATGGTCAGAACACACAGTCGTTTCTACCTTTTCATGCATTTGGGTCACCAAAACTTAAGCGTCCTTAGCAGCCCATGAATGATGGTGGAACTGTGTGCATAGTGTGGTCTTTCCTCCTTTATATTTTTCTACATTTTCTAAGCCTCTTGTTATGTGTAGGTGTTAATTTTTAATGAGTAGACAGTATGTGTGTGTGTGGCAAGGAGGGAATGGATTGTGAGGAATAAAGAGGAGCTGCCTGAGAAAGTTATAAGGGAGGGAGGTGGAAAAGTAATGAAAGTCAACTTCACATGGGGAAAAGGTGAATGATGATGCTGACTTTCATCATCTTTCCAAATTGCATGCTGGTGGGAAAAATAATGACTTGGGCGCTACTCCCATTCCTAGTTTGCCATGGGCAGCAACTACAATGTCCCCTAGCCTGTTTACTTCTGAGGTGATCTACTATCCAGATTAGCTTGGGTCTGAGTGCTTTCCTGAGATACAAGACTTTTAGTGCTAAAACAGGGGCAATTTTCAGTTGATCATCTACCACCTCCCCTCCTTATAACTCTCTCAGGCAGTTCCTCCTTACCCCTTTCAGTCAATACACCCCATCCCTGCCACACACACACATGCTCTCTTCTCATTGAAAATTAACACATACATATAACAAGAAGTTTGGAAAATATAGAAAAGTATAAAGAAGGAAAAATCACACATGCACATAGCTCCACCATCATCCAGGGACATCTGCTATCAACATTGCGATATATTTACTTTCAGGGTTTTTTTCTATATAGGCAACCTTTCTGTGACTTATTTTCACATTTCATAGCTGCCCTCAATACTCATTTCAACTAAATTATCTTCATAAAATTATTTGCTGGAGTGAGGAAAGCCTTGGATGATTTATTTCCTCCTATATTCCTGAGATATGGCCCTGGATGGATGCCCAAGGTGTAACATACAAGAACTATCAAAGATTTCAGTATCAGGTAATTAAATCCTTAACAGAGGTTGGCAACCATTTTGAGGTTTATAGATAAAAGAGGGCAGGAGAAATTGCAGAAAGTTTAGCAGAGAAGCACAATAGCTGTGGAATATTTCATTAGGAGATTGCAGAGCCGATGCCATAATTATTATCAGTATATGAATATTTCTTATATGAAAGAGAGTGATAAATTTTCTCCTGCCTCTAGTGAACGTCAGAGAAGACGAAATGAGTCTTAAGCATAGTGTGAAGGATTTAGGCTAGATAATAAGAAAAGTTATTAACTACCTTAGTAGGTTCGAGAGAGTCTAAGAAATCTCCTTCTCTGAAAGTCTTTAAAAATGATAGAGATTTTCCTATCAAGGAAGGATTAAGTGTGGGCCTGCCTAATGTAGAAGAATAAACAAAATAGCCTGCCAGAGTCTCAGCCAGCACTCAGATTCTATGATTCTATATATATTAGAGAGCACATAAAATGCATGTAAAATTGATTTTTATTTTACATTTTCCTTTGAGAAACAAAGAAAAATAGATAGTGACATTTTTAAGGCTCAAGTTTAATTTTCAGACGGTTGTGGAACAACATGTTGCTATGGGGTTGGGTGGTAACGTCAGAGGGAGGCACTGGGCTGTGACAAAGTTGACTCTCATTATTTTTCCAAATTATATTCTTGTTGCTTTTCCCCGAAACTTTAAAATAGGTTCATTTAGTTGAGTAAATGTCTAAGCTGGGATTTTAAGCCCCATTTGTATTTCAAGGGATTATACCAAATTACCTGGTTTGCAACGCTACAAGTAACTTCCGGCCCTTGCCTCTTCAAGCCTGTTCTGTTGATCATTCTTAATTGTTAACAGCATTTCGTTCAAAACTCTTTGTATTTTCTCTGGTGCTTTTCCTCTCCTGCACATTCCTGTGAATGGTGTATTCTTTGTAAATACAGTCTGTGGAGAACATCCCTTCCTAGGCAAATTGGCAGCTCAGGGAATAGTTGGGTGCTTACAATGTCATTGAAAGTCGCACAAATCAATTGGCAAAAATTATTTTCTGTGATTATCTTGTTTTTGCAGTTACATTTTTAATTTTGACAGTTTAAGTGTGTTTAGGGTTCACGATAGTTAAAGGCCACGCAGAATGTGGGGCAGGTCACTGCTGAGATTCCTACTGCTTGGCTAATAAGGTTTTCTTTGGACTTTTGGTGTCATTTAATCTCATTAACATTGAAGAGAGATACTTTAGAACAAAACAATTGAACAAATATTTATTGGGTGCCTGTGATGTGCAAGGTATATAAAGGGTAGAGTGAGGCATAAAAATTAGGAGCCCTTGCTTTCAAGATCCTCACTAATTAACAAAAACTAGGTAGTAATAAAATAAGGATACAGACCACATAGAAAATGTACCATAAAGTGGGACATGATTAATTGACAACAGATTATACAGGTGAAGAGTACTCGATTTTGGAGAGAGAACTGCAGGCTGTATTAGGATCCTTTCATTCATGACATCTGAGTTGGTCTCAAAGATGTTGATTAAACAGAAAACGGGCCTTCCAGAATGGTGAAATAATGTGCGTAAATACAGAATAGGAGAAAGCAAAAGGTATATTTAGGAGCCATTAAATACAATTTGGTTGAAAGGGAGACTTTGAGCAGGAGAATAGTGGAAAAAGTTTGGAGACCAGTTCTCAATTAATATCAAGTGGATTCATTTTCTATTGCTGTGGAACAAAGTACCACAAATTTAACAGCCGAAAACAATACCCATTTATCATCTCATAGGTCTGTAGATCAAAAATCTGGGTAGACACAACTGGGTCCCCTGTTTAGGGTCTCACAGGACCAAAATCAAGGGGTTTGGAATTAACCTGGAGGTTCTGGAAAAAAATTCCCTTCTAAGCTCATCCAGATTGTTGTCAGAATTCAGGTCCTTTTGATTGTAGAATTGAAGTCTTTATTTTCTTGCCTGCTGTTGGCCAAGGGACACTCTCAGCTCCCAGTGCACACACTGAAGTCCTTATGCATGGTTCTCTTATCTCCGCAACAGAGGACTTCATTCATGTTGAATCCCATGTAACTCTTTGAATCTCTGCCTTCCTCTTCTGCCACCAGCTGGTGAAAACTCTCTGCTTGTAAAGTTCTCATATGATTAGCTGAGGCTCTCTCAGATAACCTTTCCTTTGATTAATTCAAGGTCAGCTGATTAGTGACCTTAATTACATTTACACAATGTCTTTTGCCATGCAATAGAACATAATCATGGGCAAAAGGGACACAAAGAGACAAAAATTATGGGAGTCAGCTGAGTACTCTGCCTACCAAACCAAGCCTATCAAATGATGCCACCACGTCCTTTCACGTTGCCTAAGAGCTCAAACCTCAGGAAGTGTGTGTACGATAAAGTAACTAGTTTAAATAGTGGTAGAAATGTGGTAGAATTTGGCACTTTTATTAACTCTTTTATTTTCAACCAAATAT